>NW_025791759.1:0-250447 GCF_000001405.40 Homo sapiens | reverse complement strand
CATCTACAATTACCAAAACTAAATACACTGTTAAGAAATACACAACATAGAAAGATTTTAATTAAGGCAACAAAATGAAAAATTGTGGGGAAGAGGGTAAAAGTCTAGAATATTTGTATGTGACCAAAGCTAAGTTGTTACCAACTTATAATGGTATTTTATAGCTGTAATGTTTTATGTAAACCCAGAGTAATTTAAAAAATTACAGCAGATACACATATGAAAAAGAGAAAGGAAACAAAACTTATCACTAAAGAAATCACTAAACCACAAAGGTAAACAACAAGAGAGGGAGAAGAACAAAAGATCTATAAAATAACCAGAAAATAACTAGCAGAATGACAGTAGTAAGTTTTTACCTATCAGTAATAACCTTGAATGTAAACTGATTAAGTTATCCAATTAAATGATATAGAGTGAGTGAATTGATAAAAAAGAAAAAAAGACCCATTTAGATGCTGCCTGCAAATGAGTCATTTTACCTGTAGGACACACATACACTGAAAGTAAAGGGATGAAAAAGGATATTCTATGGAAACGGGATAAGAGATATTTCATGCAAATGAAAGCCAAAAGAGAGCAAAAGTAGTTATACTTAGATCTAGACATTAAGTTAAAAAAGTAAAAAGATGCAAAGATGGTTATAAAGGTGTCAATTCAACTAGGGGACATAACAACTATAAATTTATATGCATCTGACACTTGGATAGTCAAATATATAATGCATATGTTATAAATCTAATTAGAGAGATAAACTGTAACATTTAATAATAGTAGGGGACTTAAGCACCCCATGCTTAGCAATGGACAGATCATTTAGAAAGAAAATCAGTAAAGAAACATTGGATTTCAAATGGACTCTATATAAAATGAATCTAAGAAACTTTTACAGAATATTCCACCCAACAGCTATAAAATCCAGTCTTCATCAGCACATGGAATGTCCTCCAGGACAGATCACATGTTAGGCCATAAAACAAGTCTCAAAAAAATGTAAAAATATCTTAATCATATCAAGCATCTTTTCTGACCACAGTGGGATAAAATCTGAAATTAATAACAGGAGGAATCTTGAAAACAAGCAACGTATACAAAAATTAAACAATAGAGTCCTGAATAACAAATGGGTCAGTTAAGATATTAAAAAGGAAATTAAAATTTTCTTCAAACAATGAAAATGAAAATACAACATACCAAAGGCTATTAGATACAGCAAAGGCAGTTATTTGAGGAAAACTTATAGCAATAAATGCATACACCAAAAATTTGAAAGATATCAAATAAACCACATAATGTTGCACCTGAGGAATTAGAAAAACAAGAACAAACTAAACCCAAAAATATTAAAAGAAAAGAAATAATAAATTACACTATAAAATTACAAAAGATCAATAAAACAAAGAGTTTTTAAATGATAAACAAAACAGACATACCTTTAGCTAGACCAAGTAAGAAAGAGAGAAGATTAAAATAAATAAAGTTAAAGATGAAAAAGTAGACATCACAACTGATATCAAAGAAATACAAAGGATTGTTAGAGATTATTATAAACAACTATATGCCTATAAATTGGAAAACCATTAACAGAAATTGATAAATTCCTAGACACATACAACCTACTAAAATTGAATCATGAAGAAATAAAAATTCTGAACAGATCAATAATGAGTAAGAAGATTGATTCAGAAATAAAAGGTTTCCCACCAAAGAAAAGTCCAGGAGCTGATGATTTCAGTGCTAAATTCTACCAAACAGTTAAAGAAGAACCAATACAAATACTTTTCAAACTATTCTAAAATATTAAAGAAAATACAAAATTTATTGTATAAGACCAGCATCCCTTGGTACCAAAACCAGACAAAGACACAACAGCAACAAAAAAGGAAAACTACAGGCAAATTTCTCTGATGAACATACATACAAAAATACTCCACAAAATACTAGCAGATTGAATTCAACAACACATTAAAAAGATCATTCACTATACTCAAGTGGAATTCATTTCAGGCATGCAAGGATGATTCAACACACACAAATCAATAAACATGATGCATGATATTAACAGAATCAAGGAGAAAAACTGTCACTTTAGTGGATACAGAAAAAGCATTTGATAAAATTCAACATCCTTTCATGATAAAAACTCTCAGTAACTTAGATATAAAAGGAACATATCTCAACACAATAAAGGCTATATATGACAAATCCACATTAACACCATACTAAATTAGGAAAAGTAGAAAGCTTTCCCCCTAAAATCTAGGATAGGAAATAATACCAGCTTTTGCTACTCCTGTTCACCTTAGTACTGGAAGTCTTAGCCAGAGCAATTAGGGAAAAGAAAGGAAAAAAAAAAGGCATACAAATTGGAAAGGAGGAAGTCAAATTATTCCTGTTTCCAGTGGACATGATTTTATATGTAGAAAACACTAGAGACTCTACCAAAAAACTGCTAGAACTAATACACAAATTCAATACAGTTTCAGAATAAAAAATCAGTATACAAAAGTCAGTAGCATTTCTGTACACCAATAATGAATAATCTAAAAAAGAAATCAAGAAAGCAATCCCATTTACAATAGCTACAAAAAATAAAATACCTTGGAATAAATTTAATCAAGATGGTGAAAGAATGCCACAATGAAAACTATAAAACAGAGATGAAAGAAATTGAAGAGATAACAACTAAGTGGAAAGATATTGTGTGTGTATGGATTGGAAAAATCAATATTGTTAAAATGTCCATAGTATTCCAAGTGATTTACAGAGTCAATGCAATTCTTATCAAGGGAATTGAACAATGAGAACACATGGACACAGGAAGGGGAACATCACACACCGGGGACTGTTGTGGAGTGGGGGGAGGGGGAAGAGATAGCATTAGGAGATATACCTAATGCTAAATGATGAGTTAATGGGTGCAGCACACCAACATGGCAAATGTATGCATATGTAACAAACCTGCACGTTGTGCACATGTACCCTAAAACTTAAAGTATAATAATAATAAAATTTTTTTAAAAAAGAAAAAAGTAAAAAAAAAAAAAATACCAATGACATTCTTTGCAGCCATAAAAAAGAAACCTATTTAAAATTTGTATGGGGGGACAGGCCAAGATGGCTGAAGAGAAACAGCTCCTGTCTGCAGCTTCCAGCAAGACCAACCCAGAAGACAGGTGGTTTCTGCATTTCCAACTGAGGTACCCAGTTCATCTCACTGGGACTGGTTAGGCAGCGGGTGCAGCCCACAGAGAGCAAGCAGAAACAGGATGGGGTGTTGCTTCACCTGGGAAGTGCAAGGAGCCAGGGGACCTCCCTCCCTCCAGCCAAGGGAAGCAGTAAGGGACTGTGCTACCCACCCCGAGAACTACTATGCTTTTCCCACAGATTTTTGCAATCTACAGAGTAGGAGAGTCTCTCCTGAGCCTACACTACCAGGGTCCTGGTGAGAGGTGACAGCATGCTGGCAGTCCTCACAGCCCTCGCTCGCTCACTCTCGGCGCCTCCTCTGCCTGGGCTCCCACTTTGGCAGCACTTGAGGAGCTCTTCAGCCCACCGCTGCACTGTGGGAGCCCCTTTCTGGGCCAGCCAAGGCCGGAGCTGGCTCCCTCAGCTTGCAGGGAGGTGTGGAGGGAGAGGCGCCAGGAACCAGGGCTGCACGTGGCGCTTGCGGGCCAGCTGGAGTTCCGAGTGGGCGTGGGCTTGGCGGGCCCTGCACTCGGAGCAGCTGGCCGGCCCTGCCGGCCCCGGGCAATGAGGGGCTCAGCACCCGGGCCAGCGGATGTGGAGGGTGTACTGGGTCCCCCAGCAGTGCCAGCCCACCTGTGCTGCGCTCCATTTCTCGCCGGGCCTTAGCTGCCTTCCCGTGGGGCAGGGCTCGGGACCTGCAGCCCGCCATACCTGAGCCTCCCACCCTCTCCGTGGGCTCCTGTGCCGACCGAGCCTCCCCAATGAGTGCCGCCCCCTGCTCCATGGCACCCAGTCCCATCGACCACCCAAGGGCTGAGGAGTGCGTGTGCATGGCGGGGGACTGGCAGGCAGCTCCATCTGCAGCCCTGGTGCGGGATCCACTGGGTGAAGCCAGCTGAGCTCCTGAGTCTGGTGAGGATGTGGGGAACCTTTGTGTCTAGCTCAGGGATTGTAAATACACCAGTCAGCACCCTGTGTCTAGCTCAGGGTTTGTGAATGCACCAATGGACACTCTATATCTAGCTACTCTGGTGGGGCCTTGGAGAACCTTTATGTCTAGCTCAGGGATTGTAAATACACCAATCAGCACTCTGTATCTAGCTCAAGGTTTGTAAATACACCAATCAGCACCCTGTGTCTAGCTCAGTGTTTGTGAATGCACCAATGGACGCTCCGTATCTAGCTATTCTGGTGGGGACTTGGAGAACCTTTGTGTCTAGCTCAGGGATTGTAAATGGCACCAATCAGCGCCCTGTCAAAACAAACCGCTGGGCTCTACCAATCAGCAGGACGTGGGTGGGGCCAGATAAGAGAATAAAAGCAGGCTGCCTGGAGCCAGCAGTGGCAACCCGCTGAGGTCCCCTTTCACACTGTGGAAGCTTTGTTGTTTTGCTCTTTGCAGTAAATCTTGCTATTGCTCACTCTTTGGGTCCACACTGCTTTTATGAGATGTAACACTCACCACGAAGGTCTGCAGCCTCGCTCTTGAAGCCAGCGAGACCACGAGCCCACCGGGAGGAATGAACAACTCCAGCCACGCAATGAACAACTCCAGGTGTCCGCCTTAAGAGCTGTAATACTCACTGTGAAGGTCTGCAGCTTCACGCCTGAAGCCAGCGAGACTACGAACCTACCAGAAGGAAGAAACTCCAAACACATCCGAATATCAGAAGGAACAAACTCCAGACGCGCCACCTTAAGAGCTGTAACACTCACCGCGAGGGTCCACGGCTTCATTCTTGAAGTCAGTGAGACCAAGAACCCACCAATTCCGGACACACTGGGTTTCAAGCACAAAACTTGGGCGGGTGTTTGCGCAGGCACCAAGCTAGCTGCTAGAGCGTCCATGCTAGCCATGCCCAGAGTCCAGAGCAGTTCATAGCATCAGAGGCCTTACTGTCCTCTCTCCTCAGCTATATTCTCCAGAAATTCCTAGTTCACTACCATATACCTTAAGCTTAGGTAGTCCTTGGCACTTGGGTGACAAAAGCCTAATCTATCAGGTCATTTTAGGGAAGTGGCTTAGATGTCTTTCATAGAGCGCATGGAAGATAAAAGTGATTTGTGACGTTGTGCTTGGGACTTGGCATGGAATTTCACCTGTTTGTGCTAATCCCTTCCCTGACAGACTCACCAGTGTGAAGCTGAGAGAAAAATCATTCCAGGGACTTGGACCCACAATGGCCACACAGAGATGAACTGGGGGCTTAGGATAGAATAGATCACTCTCAATTGGCGTTCCGATAGGATTGCTGTATGGCACAAAAATTCCAGGAGCATGATTCACAGTGAATATAGTAGCAGCTATAGGAGTGATTAATAGCAAAGATGTTGGAGCCAGACTGTCTGGGTTTGTGTCCTGGCTCAGCTTCTTATAACCGTGTGATTTTGGGCAAGCTTTTAAACTTTCTGTACCCCAGTTTCCTCAAGTGCAGGAATGGTATTAGTGTCTACTTTGTAGAGCCGTTATGAAGACTAAATAAATTAATATAAATAACTGTTTAGAAGAGTACACCGTGAGCATAATATAAGTGTTTCTCTTTTGACATGCTGAGGCTGTGTCCTTCACCTAGTTGGCCTGTGGCTCCATCTGGGATAGAGTGGGGGTGAGGAAAATGCTAATAAATGTTATAGAAGAGATGAAAGAAGGAAGACCCAGACAATACTTGGCTTCTGACACAATGAGATGATGCAATAGGTAAATAACTTTACAAGCTAGATTACTGTGCTATGAAATAATTTGCTAAATTATTTTAGAAGCACTCCATTCCTCCCATACATAGCTTACCTATCAACAATTAGCCCTGAGGAAAAGTAAATTCTAAAGTTTTCCTATAGTGTAGAGAAGAAGGTATTTCTACCTTTAGTAGCTATTCCATGAGGATTGATTCTTTATATACAAAACAGATAAAAATAAGGGAAGTCTAAGAAGACCCTGCTCCCTTTCCACTGAGGGACAAGAAGATCAGTGTGAGGGAGGAGAGTCTTATATTCAAAATGTGGGTCTTCAGCTCGGACTGGGTGAAGGGAACATTTGAGAAGTAAAGGCAATGTTAAGAACAGAGAGCTCCTGACTCAGATCTGATTTTGAATTCCAGATATCTGATGTGCAGGAGCCTGCAGTCCAAAACAAGGCAGCTCAACCTAGATAAGAGAGAATGCATAAGGACATTTCCAAGACACTCTCAGCGGTTTTAGGTAAGGACAATAGATCAAGAGATATGGGACTTCTGGGAAACTTGTGGCAAGGAAAGTAAACAACACAACTGAGGCTGGAGAAGAGGAGAGAATTGCCAAGCTAAGGGTTCTGCAGGAAGATGTGGTAAACACCCAAAGCTGGGAGTACACCTTGGCTCAGGAAGATATGGGTGATGTCATGGAAGAATAACCCAAGCCAGAAGAGTGGATCATCTGTTCACCAGCCACAGACTACAGTGTGTGTGTGTGTGTGTGTGTGTGTGCATGCACATATATATACACACATATGTATATACATATATGCATATGTATATACATATAAGTGTGTGTATATGTTTGTATCTTTTTGTCCAGATAAACCAGAAGACAGGTGGTCCAAGGAAGCAACTATCACCCTGTCTTTATCTATCTATGTATATATCTATCAAGAAAGAGAGATTTATTTTAGGAATTGGGCTCATATAATTGGGGAGGCTGGAAAGTTCAAAATCTGCAGGGTAAGGCAGCAGGCTGGAGACCCAGGGAGGAGTTGCAGTTTGAGTCTAAAGGTGGATTGCTGGCAGAATCCCTTCCTCTTCAGGGAGGTCAGTCTCTTTTTATTAAAGCTTTCAACTTATTGGATGAGGCCACGCACATTATAAAGGATAATCTGCTTTACTCAAAGTCTACTGATTTAAATGTTAGTCTGATCTTAAAAATACCTTAACGAAGGGCCGGGCATGGTGGCTCACACCTGTAATCCCAGCACTTTGAGAGGCCGAGGTGGGCGGATCAGCTGAAGTCAGGAGTTCAAGACCAGTCTAGCCAACATGCTGAAACCCTGTCTCTACTAAATATATAAAAATTAGCTCGGCATGGTGGTGGGCACCTGTAGTCCCAGATACTCAGCAGGCTGAGGCAGAATCGCTTGAATCCGGGAGGTGGACATCGCAGTGAACTGAGGTTGCGCCACTGCACTCCAGCCTGGGTGATAGAGTGAGACTCCATCTCAAAAAAAAAAAAAAGAAAGAAAGAAAACCTTCACGAAAATATCTAGACTAGAATAATATTTGATGAAATATGAGAGTATCATGGCCTAGTTAAGTTGACATATCAAATTAATCATTACAGAATTACAACCAGCAGGAGGACAACAGTAGAGATCTGGAGACCGGTGGGTACACGCAGAGACAGGGAGACTTTTTCCTCTTTTCTCCACCTATGAAGCATCACCCACACACCCTTCTCACTACTACCCGATATTGATACAAAACCAAGCTCATTCTGCCCATCATGCAGACAGCAAATTACTGATATAATGAGTTTTGCAGTAGAGAAAGATTTATTCATAGGGAAACCCAGAGAGGAGACAGGAGAACAGCTCTCAAATCGGCTTCCCTGAAGATAAGGCTGGCTCAGGGATATTCATGGGGTAAAGAAGCGAGGTGGTCTAAAGCATGAAGAAAAGTGATTGGCAGTAGGGATAAATGAGGTAACTGATGATGTGTACAAGTGTAGTTGGTGTTCATGGCTCCTTATAGGATGCATGTTCAGAAAATGGTGGTGTTATCACGATTTGAGAGAAGAATCTTTGGCTCTTTGACATCAAAAGCTCACCTCTTGAGCATTTGTGCAGGCCCAGTTGAAAGGTCAGTGGTCTTAACTGGTTTAAGTTGGACAAAAGCTGACCCCCAAGTTCCTGAAAACAACTTAAGCAATTGTTACCATGGTGACATATACATCAGAAGCATTATCTCTAAAGGAGCTCATGAAGGTTAAGTTATAGTGTTTAGCAGTGTGGCTTTCAGCTACATGGGTTAAAAACAATCAACAAAAAGCAAGTGACTAAAAAGATTAGCCCTTGGTTTCAACAAGATCTTGGGAAGAGAGACAAGGGTGGGGAAGGTTACCTGAGAGACTGTGTTTTTCTCCAAATGAGAGGCTACTATCTAAATGAACTGTAGAAATTACTGCATAGGACTAAGACTAACTATGTAATACACTTGTTTATTCCTGTTAACCAATGACTAGAGACCTGGCAGGAAGCAATCAGCTATAGACAATAAAGAATTTGTATTTTCTCTGCGTATCTGAACTTGTAGTATGAGTGAATTTAGTGACCACTCAATAGGACTTGAATCAACAGTTCAAGCTTCTCTCTTCTTTTCTGTATCCCTAAAAATTATCAGGTTTTGATATCCAGTAGCATTCAACATTGCCTGCATCATTCATCTTGTCTTCAGCAGAAGTGTCACTGACAAAGCTGGTCCCCCAAAAGATAGAGTCTTTCCTTGTTTCCTGTCATGAAGCCAATATACAAAACGAAAAGTGAGCATCAAGCAGAGCAAATTTTATTCGATGGCCATAGAATTCAGATGTGGGGGCATGGCTCACAAATCAATTTCTCCACTAGTGAAGGGTGAGAGGGCTAAAATATAATATTTCTTTAATGAATGTTTATTTAATGACATTACAAGTAAGGGGAGAAATATTCATGTGTTTTCCAAAAATGGGCCGTGAACTCCCTGGAACCAGAGTTCTCCCTTCCTTTTTGTCGTTTTATGGCTTCTGGTCATTGCCATGGCGATTGTCAACAGTCACAGCACTGATAGGAGTGTCATTTAGCATGGAAATGAGATTATAATGAAACCTGAGGTTTTTTTGAAGTTGATCTCTCTTGGTTATAACCAGTTTCAGCTGGTCTGGCTATAAAGGAAAATTTTTATTGCAGGTATTCTTTTTCTTAAAGATCAGCAAAGTTAGGGCAGAGTAGAAATTCAGCTATGTCACACAGGCATTACGCTGGGTAACAGAAGGATATCAGTCCAGAGTTCCACTGTAGCCATTGGGAGCCATCTCTACCATATCTATCTACCCATTTCAGAAAGAATCTAACTTTCTCTTAACAGGTTGTGTTAGATGACTTAGTTATATAAACAACATCCCCAGGGGCTATCATCAGAAAGATGAATGGGTGGTGCAGAGGTGATTTTTTTCAGTGCTTTGAAACTATTTTGTATGATTATATAATGGTGGATATATGTCTCTGTAAACTTGTCAAAACCCATAGTCTGTACAACACACAAAGAGGATGCTAATGAGAATTTTAGACTTTGGTTGATAATGATGTATCAATGTTGGTTCATGGATTGTAACTGGTGCTGGATATTGATGGTTGGGGAGGCTGTATGTGGGAGTGGGGAGAGGGTATGTGAGAACTTTCTGTACTTTCTGCTCAACTTTGTTGTGAACCTACGACTGTTCTAAAAAATAAAGTCTATTCAACTCAATTTTAAAATTCAAAAAACAAAATAAAATAAAATATCCATCCTCTCTTGTCTTCTTCAGCAAATCTTGTGGATACTGAAAGAATAGCCAGTGTCCCAAAACACATTAGAAGATGCTCAGCATCTAATCAGGGAAGTGCAAGTCAAACAGTATTGGGATATCATTTTTGCCTCAAGTTACAGAAGTTTAGAACTCTTCAGCCCTTCCAAGAATATGGAGAAATGGGGATTCATATATTGGTGATATCACTGTGAAAGGCTACAAATATTGTAAAGTTACTTGGAACACTGTTATAAAATTAAAAAAAATACCCATTGACTCATAAATCACTAAGTCTAACAACCTAATAGGTCCCAGTATGTAAAAGTATATTTAAAAGAATGATCGTCACACTATGTTTTAATTGTAAATATGTAAAACAACCATTAACAGGAGAATGGTTGAATAAATTATACTCCATATTTACTATGGAATATTATGCAGCTACATAAAATGAGTTAAACCTGTGTGTATTAATCTGAAGTGACAGTTATAGCATATTCTAAGTGAAAAATGCATATTGCAGAGTAATGCGTGTGGTTTAGTCTTGGTAAACATAAAGAAACAAAGGGAAATAGGTATCTTTATATTTGTTAATGCAGAAAGATAAGGGGTAAAAGGGTAGAGAATAAACCGTTAACACTGATTACTTTGGGAATGAGGAAAAGTGAAGAGACTGTTGACTTTCTTTATATGCTGACAGTTGTTTTATTGTTCAAACAAGTAGGTACTGCTTTTGTAGCTTGAAAGCAAAATTCAATAAATTGTAGAGGGAATAAATACAACAAAAGAGATGCTGTGGATGGTATGGCCTCAGGGTCAAACATCTATAGTCCATCAGACTTTTTACATTGCCAAGAGTGACTGCCTCTTAGTACAGCTCCTGTGCATTACTATACTAAGAAATTCATCTCTTTTCTGTGCTTTGAGGGATGTTATAAAAATATAAACCTTCTGCACTCTGTGCAAGGTACATGACTTGCTGCAGGATGAGAAGTCTATTAGTCAAGGTTCAGTAAGTAGGTGAAGAGAAAGATCTCTACTCCCACCCCATCCCATCCCCGTCCTGTTCCTAAATTGGTATGCATCCAGCTTAAGAAGAATGTAGGGGGTAATGGGTCATGCCCCCAAAAAGGAGTTAAAGGGATGAGAAAATTTTCCTACTTAAAAAGGTTCTAGCATTCTATAGCACTGTAGGATGACTGAAGTTAGCAATAATATATTATGTAGTTTCAAATAGCTAGAAGGATATTGAATGTACCCAACACAAGGAAATGATAAATGTTTGAGATGATGCATATGCTAATTACCCTCTATATATGTATCACAACATCACTATATACTCCACAATGTGTACAATTATTACATGCCAATTATAGTTATTTTAAAAAAATAAAAAAGTATGTCCAGTCTAACATCAAAGCTCAAACATAATGTATTAACCATCTACTTATGCATAACAAATTACTTCAAAACTTACCAGCTCACCTTCCTGTGACCATGTGTTCTCATTGTTCAATTTCCACCTATGAGTGAGAACACGCGGTGTTTGGTTTTTTGTCCTTGTGATAGTTTGCTGAGAATGATGACCTGCACGTTGTGCACATGTACCCTAAAACTTAAAGTATAATTTAAAAAAAATTACCAGCTCATACAGTTTCTGTGGGTCAGGACACTGGGAGTGACTTTGCTGGTTGGTTCTGGATCAGAGCCTCTCATGAGTCAAGGTATTTTCTTGGGCTCATCAGAAGACTCAACTGGGGCTGGAGGACCAGCATTCAAGGGGGTCACTCACATGGCTAGTGAGTTAGAGCTGGTTGTTGTCGAAAGACCTTAAGTTCTCCCATGTGTGCCCTCTTTCAGGGCTGCTTAGTGTCCTTAGAGATAGGACAGTTGGCGTCTCCCAGAGCTACTGATCCTAGGAAGAAAGCAAGGATAATGCCACAGTGCCTTTTATGACCTAGCCTCAGAAGTCACATGCAGTCCCTATTGTACATTCTACTCCATTAGTGGCAAGTCACTAAGCAAAGGTCACACTCAAGGAGAGAGGAGTTAGGCTCCATTATTTGAAGCGAAGAGTATGTGAGAGTGTGTAAACATTAAGCTACAACCACCACACAATACTCATTGGTACCCTGCTGTTTTCTAGCTTTCAGGAATTCCTAAAAATTTCAGGTCCACTGAAGACATTCTTTTTCTCCAGAGGTTTGTGAAGTATTTTCTTAACAGCTTTTCTTTAACTTCATTGAGCTGTGGTGATCTAGGTTCTCCATTCCTTTTTTTAGGTCCTGTATTTACTTCCATTTATACAAGACCAGAACTCCACAAATTTTTGTAAAGACTTTTACTCATAGTTTTCCCCCCAAATCATGTATTTATTAATGCAACCATCCCAGGAGTCCATTGGAACTAATTCCATCATGACCTATATCCCTGTACTCATCAGCCACCATACAACCAATAGTGGCTGACTATAGAGCACTTACTCTATACCTGACACTGTCTGAATGGCTTGACACATATTCACATCAAATACACCAAGTCACCCCTCTCGATTGAGGTCTTCATTCACAGTCTAAATTGCTCTTTCTCCACTTCCAGTTGCCAAATCGTTTCCCTAGAGGATCCATGGCCCATCACTGGCAAGGTCCCTAATATCTTTGTCTCTTCTCTTGAATGTTTCCTTCACCTTTGTGTTCACACTGAAACCTGGCACTCCCTTGAAGCTCTGTCTCTATTGTGGCCCCTCATAGAGTAGATATTTTCTGTCCTGGGGATAGGGTAGCTCTTTGCTCCTTACTGCTGCTTCCAGTCCATTTCTCTCCATCCTCCTTAAAAATTTTTCAGCTTTGAAACTCCTGCTATCAGACTCCACTACTGGAACTGTCTCTCCCTTTTTTTTTTTTGAGGTGGAGTCTTGCTCCGTCCCCCAGGCTGGAGTGCAGTGGCGCTATCTCAGCTCACTGCAAGCTCCGCCTCCTGGGTTTGCGCCATTCTCCTGCCTCAGCCTCCCGAGTAGCTGGGACTACAGGCGCCCCCCACCACGCTCAGCTAATTTTTTTTTGTATTTTTAGTAGAGACGGGGTTTCACCGTGTTAGCCAGGATGGTCTTGATCTCCTGACCTCGTGATCCACCCGTCTCAGTCTCCCAAAGTGCTGAGATTACAGGGGTGAGCCACTGCGCCCGGTCCTTTTTTTTTTTTTCTTTTTTTTTTTTGGTCATTTAAAGACACTTCTGGTTACTCCCTTTACTTCCTTGAATATTTTAATTCCTACATTACTATCACTCTCTGTAATGCTATTATCATAATTCTTAGTGATTTTAATAACCATGTAGACTATCCTGTCAAAACCTTGGTGTTTCTGTTTTGTCTTATCCTCCGATAATTTTTGTTCTTACTCTAGCTCAGCCACATATTTCTATGTCTTATGCTAGATCTGTCCATTATCAAAAACTATATCCCCTCTGTTAATCACTATGTCCATCACTGCCTATATTTCCAGCTCTCTCCTTTTAGTATCTGAGGGAACAAATCTTTGACCTAAATAGCACTTTGTTGATCCTAACACTGTTTCTTACTCTTCTCCTGTCCTAGCTTCTCTTCTTACCCACCTTAGATTCCATGGTCCCTTTTTATAATCACTCTCTGGCAGAGTATCAGCTAATTTCTCTTTCCTTTGCATTTACCTAAAAAATCTCCAACCCTAGTTAAATCCAACTTTCAACCTACTTTGCCACGGAAACAAACAGTAGACAGTTGGAGAACAACACAAAGACCCTTTCATTCCACTCTGTGTTAAAGACACTGTGGGTTCAAGTATTGCTAGGCAACCTTATCATATTTTTCTAGTCCAAATTTGTTGCACATTAGAATATCCTGGGGAAGCTTTCAAAATAATCCTAATGTCCTGGTTATGCCCCAGACCATTTGAATCACAATATCGAGCTGGTAAATCAAGGCATCATTTAAAAAAATATATCCCCAGGTGATTTCAATGTGTAGCCACATTTGAGAACCACTGCCCTTCCAGATGACTCAGTTTCGTACATACTGGCTTTTTTTTTTTTTTTCTTTTTCTGTTCCTCCTGCATGCACAGTACAGTACTGCCACAAGGTCTTTGAAATGATTCTCTGCTTCTTCTGGAATGCTTTTTGACCATGAAGTTGCATGATTGACTCCTTCATTTCTTCAAGTTTCTGCTGCAAAGTCATTCATTAGTAATGTCTTCCTGAACTATCTCATATAAAATAGAAACCCTGCTCTTAGCACTCCTTACCTCCCTTGCCTGACTTTTCCTCTTTAGCATTTCTTGCCATCTGAAATATTATGTATTTATTTGTTAAACATTTATTGTCTCTCCATAACTACTAGAATAATAGCAGAGAACTTGTCCATTTTGTTTCTTGAATATTAACAAATATGCACAGTAAATTTATTTAGTGATGGATCAATAGGTGCTTAATAAATATATCTAAAACGGCTATGCAGCAAAAACTTCCAAGGATCTTATTTTCATCTAATTTTTGTGTTCAGGATAACTGTTTTTTTATGCAATAAATGCACTTTATAATTCTGATCAAAGGCTGGGTTGGGCCTTCAGTTTGGGATATTGAGAGCTTAGATTCTTTGAGAGCCATGAAGTCCCTAGATCTTATACATGAGTATTGCTGGGATGATAGAAAGAGATACCAACAACAATATAAGCAAATAGGAAATGTTACAGTTTCAAGGTGGTAGTGTTGTGTTTTGAGCAACAAAAAGAATATAGCACTAGAAGGAGAACCAGTTTTTACTCAAGATTAAGGCCCAGAGGGACAACAGACCAGTGCTTGCCACTGCAACATACATAGAAAGTAAGTTTTGTTGGTGAGCTGATGGGGTGGAAAGAGTGTCTGGAGAAGTGGGAGTGGCAGTAATTACAAGGGAGAGGGCTCAGTCTACTACACTTGATTTGGATACCAGTGGCGTTTTCCTTTCTGAGTTGGTAGCCGAGGAAGTATGCATTCAGCATAAGCTTTTAGAAGACGTAATAC
Source organism: Homo sapiens (assembly GCF_000001405.40). Lineage (NCBI taxonomy): Eukaryota > Metazoa > Chordata > Mammalia > Primates > Hominidae > Homo > Homo sapiens. The sequence continues at coordinate 235,718 of NW_025791759.1, read as the reverse complement.
TAAAGAAAAGAGGATTTACAGGCTAATACTACATCATTTTTTAAAGCTATGGGCAGATCATATATATTAAGCGTAATGAACAAATCATCACAACAGATTAAAGATGAGTCTTTTTTTTTTTTTTTTTTGAGACAGGATCTTGCTGTGTTACTCATGCTGGAGTGCAGTGGTGCAATCTCAGCTCACTGAAACCTTCACGTCCCATGCTCAAACAATCCTCCCACCTCAGCTTCCCAAGTAGCTGGAACCACAGGCGTGCCACCACACCTGGCTAATTTTTTGTATTTTTGTAGAGATGGGGTTTCACTATGCTGCCCAGGCTGATCTCAAACTCCTGAGCTCAAGCAATCCACATGCCTGGACCTCCCAAAGTGCTGGGATTATAGGTGTGAGCCACTGTGCCCTGGCCAAGATGAGTCTTTAGTCAACATTTTTCAACTTTGCTCAAATTACCCTGATTTTTTGAGTAATAAACACAGGTAGTCCTTCCTAAGCACGGATTCTCCACGTGCAGTAATGATAAGTTTGAATCAATTTATAAATCTCTAGGGATAACAAATGTCATGTTTCTTTATTTTTCTAAATCAAAATTATATTACCAAGTTTCTGCTCATCAAAGCCCATGAGAATTTCAGCATCAGTTTCTTTTTCTCTACTGTATTATATTGGGATGATGGGCTTATGCAGCACAAGAAAATGTGGACAGGCTACATTTTGGAAAGTGATAAAGACTGTTCCATACTTAGGCCTGGGAATCAACTTGAAGTTTCCCAACCTCTGTGCCAGGTGAGTCACGGGGACTCTTGTTGGTTAGAAATTGTGGATAGAAATTTTATCCTTGTGGATAGAAATTATAATTTAAATATTTTCTATTTAACCATGATCAAAATCAAAAGCATGTACTCACGATGAAAAAGGCCAGAAAGAAAGATTCCTGTAGGGTCAGGCTCTTTGTATTTTCAACACGTAAAGCTTGTCATGTCTCCCCCTAGTAAAGTAAGTGAGAAGAGGTTGAAGAACTTTCACAATCTAGTGACATTGGGAGCACAAGGTACTAAGAGAACATGAAATTTAAATGCGTGAGGCTCTGTTTCTTGTTCCGTTTGTTAAGAAGAAGCAAGAAACTTTCCAAGATAGTCACAGGGTTTTCTGGAGCTATTTATCACAAGCTCCTCCTAGAAAAATTATTTCATTAAGTATACTCAAGCGTTATGTAATCACCCTGAGATGTAACCATCACTTGAAGAGTTACAAAACATATACTGTTCATTTTAGGTATAAAACATACATTATAGGAAACTGAATTTTTCATTAAAATTGCAAACGAACTAATCAGCTGTACGTTAGTCTGATTCATTACTCTGTAAATCATATAAGCTCTTCTTTTTCAGTGAAAGAAAAAATGTGTGTGGGAGAACTCATATCTTATGGTCTACTTCTTCTCCTTGATTCCACCACAAATAAAAGATGCCTTCACAGGTTCTAGTTTCATTATAATCTGCAAAATTATTCTTTTCACAGAGTTTAATCTCCATGGGCATTCATACGGCTGTTTTCCTCTGGGATCTTTCTGCTTGTGGGGTGCTGTGTTTGAAGAATGTGCAGATATTCATGAATCCATGACATGGAGCTCTTTCAAGTGACCCATCTTCTCCTGTTCCTCCTCTAGGAGAATGAACTCCCTTGAAACTGTGCCACCCACTTCCCCCCCAAAGCTACAGTCTCCAGCCATACCCACTTGGTGGCCTTTCTCGTTTTGAAGTGTATGGAAAAAATACAGTTTACTACTCTCCTGCAGTCAAAGAGCTTCCAAAGTAAGAAGTGGTAGAGAAGCATATAACATATTTGTTGGTGTTAATGAAGAAGCAAAAAAAAAGACATGTATTCTCTAATGAGGCCATAACAGAAAAAAGAAAACAATTAATTTCTCAATAATTTTTTCCAAAGAAATAAAATTTAGCAGTAAACTTAAGAATAATAATTATTCTTTAGCAGCATAGGTGTCAACAACTCAGCCTCAACACAGTCTTACAAACTGGGAGCTCCTTGAAGTCAAATGTTTTCTTCTCCTCATGTATCCTCAGCAGTGTGTCTCCCCAGCACTTACAAAGTGTTAAATAAAAGCTAGATGACCACACCTGAATCAAGTGAATACTGACCCTAGCCTTCTCGTACGGACTTTATAGCTTAAATATCCCAGGTTATAGTAATGTATTCTTTAGTTCTTATTCTCTACTTTCTTTTCATTCTCCGTATTTATTTATATTGTTAAGCATTGCATTAGTTTCCTGTGGCTGCTATAAAAAATGACCACAAACTTGGTGACTTGAAACAACAGAAATTTATTCTCTCACAGTTCTGGAGGCTAGAAGTCTAAAATCAAGACCTCCACAGAGCTGGTCAAGTCCATGGCTCTCTCCCATCTTTCTGTGTTTCCAGCAATCCTTGGTGTTTGTTGGCTTGCAGATGCATCACCCCAATCTCTGCCTCTGTTTTCACATTGACTTCTTTTCTGTGAAAATTATTTCATTAAGTATACTCAATTGTTCTCTCATGTTCTCCTCTTATGAGGACAACACTTGTCTTTGGGTTTAAGATCCACCCAATCCAGGATAATCTCATTTCAAGATCTTTAACTTAATTGTATTTGCAAAGACACTTTCAAAATAAGGTCACCTCCACAGGTTCCCGGTAGACATATCTTTTCAAGGCCAACATTCAACCTTACAATCATCTTTGCTTTTTAAAATTATGGGACCGTCTTCCTCCTTTTGACTTTGATGCACAAATCTTTCTATCTTTGCTCCATCTAGATCTACACAGATGTCTCTAAGATAAAATAACCCATCATAATTAATTCACTAGAAGTCAGGGGACCTGGGCTTTGCTTTTGAATTTTTCAGTTTTCATTACCAGACAATGTGATCTTTGGTACTATTAATCACTTTGAATCTTATTTTTCATGTTGGTTGCAAATGTAAAAATCAATTAGACCTAGCTTAAGAAAAAGAAAAATTCATTGTAAATTGTAGCAGCATCCCATAAAACTTAAGTGCAAGAATGTAGCCACACCTTAAGAAGACATTAGATGATGAAGTTGGGAAGTTTTAGCACTCTCTCTCACTTTTTTGTCTCCATTTCTGTCTGTAATCTATTTACTTCCTTTTTTTTCTGTTCAGATGGCTATTTTCCTCACAAAAACTACCAATTTAATGTTATAGTTTAATCTACATGGACAGTTTCTTTTCATCTTTCCCCACCACTTCCTGACTCTCCTGTTTCATTTTCTTCTCTACATTTTTACTTCCCAATTTCTACTTCTTTCCTAGTTCCAAATTCCTAAATGAGGGAATCAGAGTGATCTAACTGGGATTTGATAAACTTCTCTGATTCTACCAACTCTGATCAAAGATAGGGTCACATTACAAAGAGATAAATTTTGAGAATTAAACAATATGGATTCAGAGTAAAGGCAGTTACAGTGAAGAAAACATTTGGAGTTTGACAGGTTCACAAAAAATGTGTACCACATTTCTCTCCTATAAAATGGAGCTAACACTTTCTGCTATGCTCACTTTACAATTAAAAAAATTTTTTTGAGGGTCATAGCAGACATTGTGTTTAAGAACACATTGAATATTATTACACACTTGGAAGAATTGTTTTGAAGTTTTATAGTGCTAGATTTGGGTTCCGAACAAGTGGCAGACCTGATCTTGATGAAAGAAAGAAGATAATTCATCCAGTTGTGAAGTGGATAAAGGTTTTCTAAGAGCTCATCACCATGACTCCCAAAGTTTTGATTGTCTTCATAATGATGGGAAATCACAATTTCAGGAATAGGAACAAAGTTTTTGTGAGAGTTAGGAAGAATCCAGAGGTGCAAGGTGTAAGTGGTGATGTTTGTGTGTGGAGGTAATCCTTCCAAGTTTATCCAGACAACAATGGCAAGAGTAAGAACTGAACTTAAATACTGATGCACTTAGACATGGAAAATGCTGAACTTTATGTGTAATGATTTGTCAGTTATTTATTATATGATTATTTATTTTCTGACAGGTCATAAAAGCAGGATACATCATTGACAACAGAAGTAATTATCAGTTTTAGAATAAAAGCAAAAAGATTCTTAGGTTTCTTGGGGCACTATAATACAGTGTTGATGTTGGGAGGAGTAAAAGAAACAGGTATATCTTTTAACAGGTTGGTCAAAGAGGTTACATGTGTTTTTCAAGAAGGTTGTCAGTTGGAATTATTGTTGCTTCTGCCCTTATTCCAATGGGGCTGGTACAGCAATAGTGCCTACTTTTCCAGGCTTTGAAGCATGTCTGCATCAGGACAGGCCGACAGTCCTGGAAAGGGCACAGAGAGAAGCCTGGAGTGAGCTCCTGGAGTGAGGGAAGCCTGGACTGTACTTAGGGAGATTTGAGTTCTTATTCTCAGGATCTTCTTTCTGTCCCTCCTTTTACTGTTTCATTAAAACAAACAAACAAATGAGCAAACAAACGAAAAACCCCAGCTAGCCAAATTCCTGTAGTAGACCTGGTGGGAAAAGTCAAAGAGGTTATCCTAAGACTTTACATCTGCACCAGCTGAAGAAAATCTCAGACGGCACATGTGAACCAGGCCTGGTCATCAGACACTGGACTTTATTTGGGGACAAATGTATGCAATTTCCTGGAGTGTAATCTGTGCCGAACATGCCCTATTAAGAATTTATAGCAGGAGACAGCTGGCCAAAGATTTGGGGTCCTGGCTTTCTACTATCACTGCTAATATGAGGCACATAAGCAGGTGCTCACTAAATAATAAATTAATGAACAGTCTACTGAACATGTCCTTTTGCAATATGGCACTGAGAGTCATCTGTCTTATTTTATGAAGCATCAGTAGTTTCTGATTCATACTCTGTGAAAATGGCAGTGTTCCCCGGAGGCAGAAATGCACAATTTTTCCTTGGCAGTTGAGAACACCACTACATTGCTTGTCTTCAGTTACAAATGGAGAGATTAGTGTTGGCCATGAGAGCAGACTCTTCTTCCCCAAAGAGGGTCACAGGGCAACAGAGGTAGAATAAAGATACAGAGAGACATTTGGTTAAGAGGAGAGATTTGAAGGAACACATGTCAAAATGCCTTAATATTCCTGGTAAGGTAGGATACCAAGTCACTGACTAAGACTGGAATGAGTAGGGCTATAGTTGGTGATTTGGAAAAGCCACTGTGTTGAATGTGATATAAGGCAAAAACATACTCACTTTCTTCAGATATCTGTATATCTCATATTTCTGTGGTTTACTCAGGTCTCTACTCACATGTCGCTTTTTTACAGAAGTCTCACAAGCCCAGCCCATTAATAAAAATGCCTCTGGCCGGGCGCAGTGGCTGACGCCTGTAATCCCAGCACTTTGGGAGGCCGAGGCGGGCGGATCACAAGGTCAGGAGATCGAGACCATCCTGGCTAACACAGTGAAACCCTGTCTCTACTAAAAATGCAAAAAAATTAGCCAGGCGCGGTGGCAGGCGCCTGTAGTCCCAGCTATTCGCGAGGCAGAGGCAGGAAAATGGCGTGAACCCGGGAGGCGGAGCTTGCAGTGAGCCGACATCGCGCCACTGCACTCCAGCCTAGGCGACAGAGCCAGACTCCGTCTCAAAAAAAAAAAAAAAAAAAAAGCCTCTGTATTACCCTTGCTCTGTATTATTTTATTAAAAATAATGTGTGACATTATATTTGTATATTTATGAATTTGTTTATGATACTTCTCCCTACCAAGAAGAAACCTTCATGAAAAAAGGTAACACTTTGTTTCATCTGAGTCTTTCAGGAAACAGAATCTGAATTGGAGATAGGAGTGTGAAAGGTCTATTGTGGAGTGACCTATGAAAGCAAAAGGGAGGAAGCGAGAATAGGGAGTGTGTGTGATCAGGCTGTGCTGTAGATTTGACAAAGTCCCTCCCAACCCATTGGGGAACACTGGAGAGATGACGACTTAGTAAAGGAATCCCATATTGGTAGAAATGGCCTCCGTACCACAGTCTTGTTTAGTCATTGGCTGGGAGACCCCCAAAAGAATATGACCTTGAATCAAAAGCCCCCATGGACTTGGAGGTGTTAACATCTTGAGACTCTTATCTGTCCATACTCTTTGCGTATAGGTAACAAATTCTTTCTTGAAGAGGGAATCTGAATAGGTTATCTCCACACCTTTAATAGTCTACCTTTTATATGGCATGGATACATTTTCAATATACCTTCAGGCAGTACCTCTTTAAGGCTTCCACGAAGCCTTTCTTTCTGAAGAGAAACCTAGATGATGGAGATTAGTGGGAAAAACTGTAGCCTTCATCTTTGCAGTCTGTCTTGGGGCCACAGCTGATACTATTATTTTCTTCTTCATCTATTAATTCTAACTTCCCCCTCACTTTCAGCTCTTACTTCTAAAGTTCTCAGTGGCTTACTTGTGGTTTCACCGCAACCCTTGTTCCTGAGATGTCTGAGTCTAGTAATCCCATCCTTCACAGGTAGAGGTTATTGCACTTGAACATTCACAATCACAATTGTCAAGGAATTACCAAGAAGTATCTAATCTAAATGAATCACTGAGTTCCACAATTATTTCTTGGTGTCCCTACTGTGTAAAAACATCCCTACCTCTTCCTGCTGTCACAATTTCCTTTTCTTACCTGCTAGTCCTTGAATATAAAAAGTCCAAAACGCCCAGGTGGCAGTCATAGGTTGTAATTCAATGGCACCCTTGATGTGTCCCTGTGTAGGGTGGGCCTTTTGGGGGCACCAGGACCTTTAACATTGCAAGGCTCAGAATAAACAGACAGAAGGCACAAATTCTCCCAAAGGGACACAGAAATGATGGTAAGTGGGGATACTTCTGTTTTTACTTCTTGGACTTGGACCTATGCATTATTCCCACTAGTGACACAGCATCGTATAGACAGATGTCTCTGATCCAGTGTACATACTGTGTTTTGGAAGAAAGCACCTTATCTTTGCAAATGGTTTATTCCAAGCTGGTACTTCAGCTATGTCTTTAGCAGGTCATTCCAATATCCTCTCAGGCAGGCTGCTTCTAAATTATTCAGCTTGTGGTACAGTTAGTGGATACCATGGTCATGGGCCCACTCCTGCACCTCCTTTGCTGCAAGGTGGGTCCAATGGTTGGATGATTTATAGAGCAGGATTTCATGCTTGAGGATCTAGTAGTCTGTAAACCCCCAATAGAGGTGCAGATAGAGGATCTCCAGGCAGGAAAAGGAAACCATTACCTAGAGTAAGTTTCTGTCCTGTGAGGACAAACTGCTAACCCTTCCAGGAAGAAAGGAGCCCAATGTAGTCAACTTGCCAATAAATAGCTGGTTTGTCTCCTTGATAAATAGTGCTATACTTGGAGTACATTATTGGTCTCTGTTACTGGCAGTTGGATAATCAGAGGTGCTAGTAGTTATCAAAAGCTTAGTGAATGGCAATACATGCATAGCCTCTATCTCTGCCACTGTTGAAGATGTTCCTGTCAAATCAGGACTAAGTTGATCACTGATAAAAGCTGGCTAATATCAAGTGGCTGAGTCACTCCATCTACTTGATTGTTTGGTGATTCTTCTATGGTTGATGCTTCCTGGTAGTAACAAATGTGTGATACAAGGTTCACACTTCATGTCCACTCTCACATATACATCCACATGCCTCTATTTCAGACTTTCTTGTCTGCAGTCTTCCAATCCTTTTCCTTTTAGGTTCCTGACAAACAAGTCAGGCTATTTGTTATGCTTATGAGTCTACACATATTCTAATGTAGGGGCACTTCTCATTTAGCAAAAAGTAAATAATCAAGTGTACCATCCAAAGCCCCACCAGTTAGGAAAACTTTCCTTCTGCACCATCTTTGAAGGCTATCCTTGAGTGAGGCTATAATGCATCTATTTTTGACTTGTACCCACATATTGAGTTGATGCATCCACAAACCAAGCTAGTACATTTTCTTTATGCAGAAACTTCATAGTGAACTAGGGAAGGGTGATGCAGATACCACCCTGGCTGGTGACATGGAGATTTAGTTTACATGTTTATGCAACTTGCTTTTATGTTTTTGCCTTCTGGTCCTGCTTGTGCTGTCTCTGATGTATACTGTGGATCTTTTGAATAATTGTTACTGGGCCTATCTGACTTTACAGTTTTGAAGGTCAAGCAAGATCTACTTCATGAAGAAAAATTCTAAATGCATGATCACTGGTGTCCATTGTTGCCAAACATTCTATCTCTACTAGGGCCTCGTAGCTTGCCAGGGGCTGATTTTCCAAAAGTTTGTGATTCTCTGCTCTACAAGGCATAACCCTGCTACAGAACCTCAAAGACTCACGTTGTGATTCTTCCTCTAGAGCTTGCCATATGTTCTACACTACTTATTTTTCTACCATTGACAGCTACAACAAAATAAGGTCTGCTAAATCATATAGCCCAAGTGACAGGTCTAATTGCACTACAACCTGTATCTGCTGCAGAACTCCTTCTGTTCCAAGTCCTACTCAAAGTTGCAAGGCTATCATGTAATATAAAAGCTAGAGCATTACACCTAGTTTGTGGACTTACTGCCTCCAGAATGAAAAGGGGCCTACCAAGTATTGTGCTTCCTTTTTTTGTGGTATGGGATGTGAGATGCACCAACTTGTTTTATTTGGAGGGAGTGTCGTAGCATACCTCTGACCACAGGATTTCTGAAACCAAAATGACAAATTTCTGAGTGTTCAGAGTTTTTTTTTTCTCTCTCTCTGTAGTACATGTATCTTACCAAACCCTCTAGTATGCTAGCCACATTGCACTCACCCTGTCTGATCAACATGATGTGATTGATATGGTGGATCAGTGTGATGTTCTGTGGCAATGGCTTTCAGAACCATTGGATGAAAGGAACAGAATCTAGCATGAGCATTGAGGAGAAGCCTCTGCATCCATACTGCAGAACTGAGTCAAAGGAACACCTGCTTCTTTTACAATTAGGATGCAGATTGCTCCACATTGTACACCGCTACAACCAGCATTAGAAATCCACAAAATTCAAAAGTTCACATATTTAGAGAGATGCTTCCTCTAGAGTCGCACTGCATTTGCTCTAATCTACTCCAGCAACATTGCCCAGGGCCCTGCTTCTCAATACCCATAAGGAAAGGCTGGAAGATGGCACCTTGGTTCAATTCTGCTGCTGAAAAATCAGTCCCTGTGCTTGTCAGTAAAAATGGCAAAAAAAAAAAAAAAAAAAAAGAGGAAGATATGTAGTCTCTGTCTTACTACCAGCCTCTAAATATCTGATGGGCTGAACCAAAATCACCTTGAGAACTGTAGTTTCAAGGGAGTCCAGGAAATATACTTTTTAGCCTTTCACTCTCTGCCATTTGGAAAGGCAAACTAGAAGAGTGAAGTAGATGTTGAACATGAGTCCACCATTTTCATCTCAATAACGATCCCTCATCAGATGCTTTTTGAAAGGATTAAATGTGATAATATATGGAATTGCTTATTATAGCAGCTAAATGTAGTAATATTCAATAACTGTTGGGTCTTCTTTCTTAAACCATTTATTCATAATCAAGAGTATTAATTTTCAACCCCAAATCATGTCAATAATATTCAAAAGATGGATTTACTGTCAATTTGTCCATCTGTGATGTAACTAGGTATAGGATTGACAATTTAAGTCAGTGCTGTCCGGTATAGAACAGTATGAACGGTTCTATAAGAATAAAATGCACACTGAATTTCAAAGACTTAGTGTAAAGTAAATGTAAAATGTCTCATTAATAATTTTTTACTAATTAAGTGGTGAAATGATATTTTAAAGAAATATTGACTTAATAAAATATATTATTCAAATTAATTTTATTTCTTTATTTCTGCATTTAAAAACTTTGACCACTAGAAACATTAAAATTACATATGTAATTTAATTATATTTCTTTTGGACATTAATGCCAGAACTAGTCCCTGAACTCTACCTTCTAAGTTTGCGTCTCCCTCTTGTGAGGGTCTTTCTGTCGCATTTAGAGTTCTCCTGCTTCTCTGGTTTTAATTATCCATATTACAGTTTACATGAGGTATTTTTAAAAAATTCATTAAAAACATTATGAGAAACCACAAAGAAATATGACTACATCTGACTCTGATATTGGCTCTCCCACCCTGTCCCCTAAGTTATGAAACTCTGGAACATTCTGTTTTCTCCCTGTACTAATCTGAACACAGAACTTGGCACCTCTTCAAGTCTGCAAAATAATCTCCAAAAGCCTGGGTAAGCAATGATAATGGCATTCTTGAAGAGCTGTAAAAGAAAATAGATGAAGGACTTTACATTGCACCCTTAAAGCAAATCTAACACCCCCTCCAATTAGTCATTTCTAATGTTTTCCTAAATCCCTTCTCTGTTACTCAATGAATAGGTCTTCTGGCTCCCTCCTACTATTTCCTCCCTCTCTCCACTATCTTCCTGCCTCACTGGCCTCTTCCTCCGCCTCTAAGATTCACTCCTGTTAAAATTCCTCATCCCTTTAGTAAGCGGAACAATTTAATTGCTGTATTGTGTTCCTTCGGCATTTCCTTAGGGTCTCATACTCCAAAAAAAGTAATTTCTTTTGAATAAATACAAAGTCTCCCTAAGAGGAATTTTGGGAAATATGATTTTCTTCATTTCATTACACAGAATAAATTGGATAAGTTTAGAAAGTAAAGATTTCAATGCTAAGAAATTTGGTAAATATAATAAGGAGCTTTACCAAGTCTCAAACCTCCTTAGTGTAAGACAATCATTCCTCATCACATTTGGGTTGATATAGTCTACCTGCAGCTTGCACATTCCGTTCTAATAACAAGGCAGGTTCCATCTTGTTTTACACTACAAGAGCAGTTCATCAGTCTGAAGACAAGGCCAACACATAGTTTTCTCATTTATGTCCCTTCCTACCCCCATGTGTCCTTAATAATCTCCCTATGATAACAAGTTTCTTAATTTAAGGTCAAAAATAGGTCATAGTTCATTTGTGTAGCTGTGTTAATTAACCCTCCAAATTCCAAGACAAGAGCTCATCCTTGTTGGCTCACTTTATCAACTCTTCCACATTCTTCCAGTTCTTTGAAATTTATCTCTAGTATGTCTCATTTCCTAAGATGATGATTTTATCAGAACATAACCAATGTAATATTCAGTATCATACTACCATATTGAGAGTTGAGAACACTAGAATCCCAATAATAATAAAACTAGGTTTCATTTATCAGCTAGCTACAGCTCTAAGTTGCTTTATATGCAATTAGCGCATTGTAATTATCATAACTACAGAAGAGGCAGGCATTATTATGTCTATATTGTACCTAGGAAACTACGGCTTAACAAGATTAAGGTATTTCCCCCCAAAAAAAACGACATTCTATTTCCCATCAATGTGATGTTTCATTCAGGGTCCATACTCCATATACTTCCCCACTGCTCTGAAGTCCATAAAGTTCATTATAAAAGCATAGGGTTTTGGAATTGAAGGGACTTAGAGATTATCTAATCCTATATACTCACTTTACAATTACTACAGATGTCCCAACTAATTAGAGCCATTCTTACCCCAAGACTTGGTTGATAGAATATTATACATTTAGGGACATCCAGGAGGTAATGATAGTAACTTGGCTTGCAAAAAGGTTTAAAATATCTTTTTTCTTAATGACCCTAAATGAAGGCAAATGGCTTTCCAAGAACAGCTCTTTCAAGTAGGGAGCAACATATCAGCTGACTTGTTACCAGCTTTTTATTTGCATGATCAGTGTATTACCATCAACTTTTAGTAGCAGATAAAGGTATTTAAGGAATCAGCCTCAAGATGAGTAAACTTTATCGGAAAAGGCTGTCACAAGCTTGGGTAGCTGTCTTATGGGCTTATTTCTTAGTCCTTTTGGGCTGTTGTAACAAAATACCTTAGACTGGGTAATTTATAAAACAGCAGAAATTTATTGCTTATAGCTCTGGAGGCTGAGAAGTCTAAGATCAAAGTGCTAGCAGATTTGGTTCTGATGAGGGTCTGTTTCACATAGATGGCACTTGCTGTGTCCTCAGTTGGCAGAAGGGGCAAGGAAGCTTGCTTAAGCCTCCTTTATAAGGGTACAAATTACATTTATGAGGGTGCAGCACTCATGACTTAATCACTTCTTGAAGGCCCCTTCGTATCATATTGGGTATTAGCTTCTGACATACGAATTTTTGGGACCACAACATTCAGACCATAGCAGCTTTGATACTGTTTGGGTATATCATGATTAATCAGCCGGAGGGTAGTGATTGCATCAGTGGAAACAGGGAATGCTATGAAGACAAAAGTCAAGTTATTGAGCTCAAAAGATACACTGCTTACTTTGAAGTGTTTTCCAGGACTAACCCAGAACGAACTCCTCCCCATGCGGAAACCTTCCAAATGCTTTTGCCTGGTTGTTATAAATTGATCTCATATGGCACTGCCCATTAAGTTGGAGAGCACGCTACAAATATGTATTCTACAAATGTGTACTCTGTGTTTCGTAGACTTTACGGTTTTCTAGAGGATGGTATGATGCCTATCTCTGCTGAATATCAAAAAGATCTTCAGAACGGAACAAAAATTGCTTAATTATACATTGTTCTTTCCTATGGCCAGACATTCTTTTGTTGTTAGAGAGAGTCATTATGTAATAAAAAATCTTGAATTTTGGAGTAATAAAAACAAAGTGTTCCATCGTATATTCATTTACTAAAAATATTTATCAAGAGATGACTCTATGTTAGTAACTGGCAAATGTTATAAATAAGACTTGTAAGGCTACTACTCTCATAGAACACAGATTCTAGAGAGAGGAGTTAGATAATTAATACATCAATAAATGAGTAAAATAAATCTTATAAGGACAATAGGATGATAAGATTTGTGGCAAGGAGGTATTTTAGACTGGGTAGTCAGAGAAGGCCTCTCTTTGGAAGCAGCAACTGAGAAGGAAACATCATATAAGTGAACAGATAGAGGCCGATAGGTCATAATTTAGGGCAGCTATAGGTAATACATAAAGGAATGGGTGTGGGTGTGTACTAATAAGTCTTGCTTTTTTTTTTTTTTTTTTTTTTTTTTTTTTGAGACAGAGTCTCACTCTGTTGCCCAGGCTGGAGTGCAGTGGCACAATCTTGGCTCACTGCAACCTCCGCATTCCAGGTTCAAGTGATTCTCCTGCCTCAGCCTCCCAAGTAGCTCGGATTACAGGTGTGCGCCCTCACACCAGGCTAATTTTTGTATTTTTAGTAGAGATGGGGTTTCACCATGTTAGTCAGGCTGGTCTCGAACTCCTGACCTCGTGATCTGCCTGCCTCAGCCTCCCAAAGTGCTGGAATTGAGCTATCTCTCCCGTGTAAGTCTTTATTTAGAAAAACAGGCAGGGGTGCGGGAGTCAGATCTGGCCTGCAGAGGAAAGCATTTCAGGCAGGAGGAATCTGGGAAGTTGAAAGGCCAAGGCTGGGTGTGGGCTTTGTATTCTTGTATTCTTAGAAAGTAGTATGGCTGGAGGCTAGTGAGAGTGAGAGTGATAGGGTGTTGGAGACAGAGGTACAGGCCAGGTCAGGTAGGGCTTTTTAGACTTATGAAGAAATTTACATTTTATTCTAAATGCAAAAGGAAGCCACCAGAATGATTCACGCAGGGAACAGTGACACAATCTGATTTATATTTTAAAGAGGCTCTGGTTGCTGAGCAGTTACTATTTTTAGGGAAGCTAAAGTGGAAGCAAGGAGAGTCAGGAAGCTGTTACAGTAATCCTAGGAAAATACCATAGTGAAGACAGGGAGAGCTGGAAGTGTAGCAGTTTGAATTTCTCTCTTCATGGCTCCTTAACTATACATGAACTTTGAACTTCATTTCCTTCATCAGCTAAGTATAGATAAAATTCCTATTCTCTTTGTTAGGATAAAATAAGCCTATAAGGCAAATGTCCAACAAATGGTTAGATGTCGGTTATGTTAGTTCTTTCTTTTTCTTCTTTGTCTAAAGCTCATACATTTTTTTTCTTCCTTCTCCCCTTTCTTTCTTTTTCTCCTTTCCATGGATATTTGTCTCCTTCCATAGATATTTAATGGTGAACTGGTTTGTGCAAAACACAATACTTGGTAGTGGAAGATATAGAGAGATCTTGTTTTTAAACATTTATTGACTTATATAGTTGGGTGCTCAAAAAAGCAGAACCTTTAGTTTTCCCTTTAGTTTTTCTTTTCTTTACTTTTTTAGTAAGGCAAACTGCCATTTTAAAGTCCTAGCTAGTTATATAAATAATAATGAAGAAAAAATCATTTTGGAGAAGATCTTAGTTTTGGGCAGAATCAACTAAGGGTGATATACAAAAAACTCCTTACATTAAAACAAAAATTAATTTAACATTGGTTCTGAGAATATACTGGAAGTTTTATCCTGGGAAACATATGTACAATTTTTTTTTTTTTTTCGTGACAAATATGCCCCAACCCACAACCCTTGTATATATGCAGCACAAGATTACTGGGGACGATGAGGTTATTAAAATAGCCACTGTAATTAAAGTGGTCTTGATATGGTTTGGGTGTGTCCCCACCCAAAATTTCATCTTGAATTGTAATCCCCATAATCACCATAATCCCCAAATGTCAAGGAAGAGACAAGGGGGAGGCAACTGAATCATGGAGGCGGCTTCCTCCAAGCTGTTCTCATGATAGTGAGTCAGTTTTCACGAGATGTGATGGTTTTATAAGTGTTTGATAGTTCCACCTGTGTTCATTCTCCTTCCTGACACCCTGTGAAGAAGGTGCCTTGCTTCCCCTTTGCCTTCCACCACAATGCTAAGTTTCTTGAGGCCTCCCGAGACATGCTGAACTGTGAGTCAGTCAACTAAGCCTCTTTCCTTTATAAATTACCCAGTTTCAGGCAATTCTTTATAGCAATGTGAAAATGGACTAATATACAACTGAAGTCATTTGGTAAAATAAGCTTCAAGATTCCTCTTTTCATCTCTCACTGAAGGTAAGATCACCATGGCTAAAGTGGGGTGGATTTATCCTGAGTCAGATTTATGCTCTTGCTCTGTATGGTTCATACCTTTACAAACGGTTTTTAAATTAAAGCCTAAAGTCATCCCAATTTTTCTCTCTGAATGATTTACCCTCCCAGAAGAAATGTTTTCAGCTAACTTGTAATTATCCCTCTTTATGATGTAGCATAGTATTTTGGAAAATACACTCGCTTCAAATCAGCCATGTACCAGCTAGCTGCATGATGTAGGACAGATTCCTTAAAATTTGTAAGATCCAGTGACCTCACTTATAAAATGAAGCCTTTGTACTAGATCATTCCAATGTCTTGTGCTCAGTGACTCAACAAAAGGACCAAACTGCATGTCTGCCCCACAACTTTGGAGGCAAAGAGTAAGACGGTCAAAAGTAGAACTCTAGCAAGGTATAGTAAGAGAAGCAATAGAAGTTGTTTGTAGAGAAAACACTATACAGCTTAATTTTGAAACCATATTATTCTCAGATTACATGTTTTTAAAAATTGCTTTAGTTGAAAAATTTTATAAACTGTTGGTAACAAATTTTTAAACCACAATAATAACTCTCTGCCTAGTATTCTATGTACCCCAGCCCCAGTGTGAACATTTCATTGCAATCAAGTCCTAAGAGAAAACATCAGAAAGGCTTTAAGATAATACCTTATAACAGCAGGTTCATTTATCTGGGTACTTGAACATAATGAAGATAGACATTCTTCTCTCATTGTATAGGATACCTATAAATAACCAAAGCCCAGTGAACTTTATGGCAGAAAATAATTTAAAGTAATTAGGATTTTTAAAAAGGAAAAGGAAATAGAGTTATGAGAAGAGAGATATGGGATTAATACAGCAAAGGAGAAGGATTAACTCTAGTTTTGTATTCATTACCCAGAAAGAAGTCTTTGGATCATTTTTGTGCATGATGGGAATTTCACATGCAGAGAGGACCTGAGGAATTTCATATGCAGTGAAACATCACCTTTTTGCATTTAACTGAAATTGATGTTCATATTAAATCTATTTTATGTGGGAATGAGTAAAAAATTGATGATTTTAAAAATTAAAAAATACAGTTTTCTACAATATTTTTGTACTAAAAAAATTAGATTGCAATTCAAATGCTAAAAACTGGCTAATGACTAATAAATATTGGACACACCTATGCTGAATTATTTTGCATGCTTTAAATATTATGCTTATGAAGAGTCTGTAATACTATAGAGAAAATCTTTTACTTTATTAAGTGAAAAAGTAAAATGTGACTTTTATATAAAATATTATCTCAACATAAAAAAACTAAAAGAAATGCTCTTTCTATAATGTCCAGTTAGTTGGATTTTGAATGATTCATTCATTCTTCTTTATGTATTTTTTATAATATCCTATTTTTTCCAAATGGGTCCACAGTATTTTTATTTGTAATTGGAAAACGAAATACTTAATTTGAAAACCTCCTTGTGTATAATCTGATTAAGTCTTGGAATATATAAGGAACCTCTTAGATTGTTTTGGAAAGAACAGTTATTCATAAAGGCAAATAATTAATCAGAAGATATCTGGTAGCAATAAAACTGCTGAAAGCAGAAATGCTCTCTTTTTTTTTGAAAGGGTAAAATTAGAAAATTATCATTACAGGACATTGTATTGTTGGTGATAGTGTGAAAGTTTAGTCTCCTGGCTTTCCCACCCCTCAGAGAGCAGAAAGCATTTTCTTCCTTATAGAAGAAGATAAAGCAGGGCCAAGTAGAGAGTGATATTCCTGAGCATCAGCTGGTACAGCAAACACACAATAACAATAGCAAGCAAAACAAAACAAATATACAACAAAGTCCTTACGTTAAAGCAAAAATTAATTTAGTGCCTGCAGCAAAGGAAAGCTCTTTGCCCCTTTTCAACTACCTCTTTTCTGTTTGCGTTTGGCACCTCTCTTTGCCTGGTCTTTGGTGACCACTTGAATGCAACTCATTAATTTCAAGGCTAAATCCTCAACCTTTTGCTTTTCTTTCTCTATAATCTCTCTCTCTCAGAGATATTGTTCATTCTTATAGCTTAACTTTTTCACCTTATATTGATAGCTCCCTATTTTATATTCTAAGAACTTCTTACCTATCTTTTCAACTTTCTGCTGAGTATTTCCACTTAATGTCTTTAAAGTCATCTCTAACTAAATGTGTTTACAACCGAACTCACCCAAACTTCATATTTTTAGGAACCACCTCCTGCTTTCGGCACTCAGAATGGTAAGAGTGTTCTTTCATTCTATCTTCTTCTTCATGATCCATACTAGATCTGGGACAAATTTCTGATTTAGCCTTTGTAACAACATTTACTTTCCATCTCTACTCTCATCCTTTTGGTTCAGGTTCCTGTCATCTCATTGTTGGTGACATTTTGGAAACATGAAAACATATTCTGAATGTAGTATGAGGTTCTCAGTTTGAGGCTAACTTGCATTTCCACTGGGATTCAGACTTGTCAGAGTTGAAGTCCACAGGAATCCATTTGCACAAAATTTATGTGAAAGAACTTCTGTGAAGGAACTTGTACAAGGGGAGGGGAGATGAAGGCAGAGGTTGGAGAGGGACAGCGTATTTCCTGTTTCCCATTGTGATGTCTGGAAGAGGTGCTGCAGGGCAGCTGTTGTCATGACGGGCTCTGTAGGAATAAGAATGTCTGTTTCTGGCCGGGCGCAGTGGCTCATGCCTGTAATCCCAGCACTTTGGGAGGCCGAGGTGGGCGGATCATGAGGACAGGAAATCGAGACCATCCTGGCTAACACGGTGAAACCCCGTCTCCACTAAAAATACAAAATATTACCCGGGCGTGGTGGTGGGTGCCTGTAGTCCCAGCTACTCCGGAGGCTGAGGCAGGAGAATGGCTTGAACCCGGGAGGCGGAGCTTGCAGATCGTTCCACTGCACTCCAGCCTGGGCGACAGAGCAAGACTCCATCTCAAAAAAGAAAAAAAAGTCTGTTTCCGTTTCTATGTAATGAAGAGCAATGCCACTTGGAGAAGTTTTTCTACTCTTTTGAGAAGACTGAAAGAAACAGTGTCAGTCAGCATGTCACCTGTAGAGGGTCGTGATTGCAAGTTGTCCAGGTTCTTGGTGTTTTGAACAAAGAGTTGGACAAAACGCCAGCAAAGCAAAGAAAGAATGAAGCAACAAAAGAATGAAAGAATGAAAGCAGGGATTTATTGAAAATGAAAGTACACTCTACAGTGTGGGAGTGTGCTGAGCGGTAGTTCTAGGGCCAGGATACAGAATCTTCTTGGGTCCAAATACTCCCTAGAATTTTCCCATTGGCCACTTCATGCTCACCTCATGTCAGTGAAGTGGTAGCTTGCCATCAGTCTGATTGGTTGCAGAAAGCAGCCAACCAGGGGCTGAAGTGAAGTTACAAAGGTCACACTCCTGTGCAAACATCTGATTGGTTGTCAATCAGAGGCTAGGGTGAAGTTACAAAGTTATACTTCAATGCAAACGAATACTCCACCCACAATCAATCTGATTGATTGTGGACAGCAACCATTCAGAAGCTGGAGTGAAGTTACAAACTTGCAAAGGAAGACTGGACCTGCAATCAGTCTGATTTGTTGCGGACAGACAATTTCCCATCTGCCTGCAGAAAAGGTCAAAGGCAGTAGCCTCTGGTCCTTTTGTTACTTAGGCGTGTAAAGTTAGGATTTTCCTTTCAATTTAGTTCTAGGAAGTCGGCATGAAACAGCCTTAGGTTCCCTGCCTCCAGACCCTATTCTCCTGCCTCAAGCATACAACCTTTATTTCCAGCTAAAATTCCTAGCTAAAAATGTCTAGCAAAATTCCTAGAAATAAGTGAATTAATGAAGACAAAATGAAGCAATACAAAGATACGTGATGGGAAGAGGGCAGATCTTACAAAAGACATATTATATTCCAGAATGACAATGGTAAATATTACACAAATATGTACAATTGACAAAAATACAATAACAATTTAGTGGAGAAAGGATAATCTTTTCAATAGGAAAATGAAACCTGACCTAACTTTCACCTTATGCAAAAATAAACTTAAATATGTTATAGATATATATGTAAATCTAAAACTATGAAACTTTTTGGAGAAAATCTTCCTGAACTGGAATTGGGCAAAGAGTTTTCAGACATGGTGCCAAAAAACGACAGAACTGATCAATCAAACTTCATCAAAATAAAAAACTTTTGCTTTGTGAAAGTAATTGTAAAGAGAATGAAAATACCAGCAATAGCCCAGGATAAAATGTTTGCAAAAAATATATCTGACAATAGAGTTGTATCCGGAATATATAAAGAACTCTCAAAATCCGAGACTTGGAATATAAACAATCCAGTTAAATATGTCAAAATATTTGAACAGATGCTTCACCATAAGATGTAATGATGACAAGCATATGGAAAACTATTCAGTATTATAAGCCATTAAAGAAATAGAAAGTAAAACCTCTATAATACAACTACACATGTAAAAGAATGGCTAAAAGATAAAACACACACACACACACACACACACACACACACACACACACATTACCAACTACTGGCAAGGATGCAGAACAACTGGAATTATCACATTGGGAAAGAAAAAATGTACAGCCACTCGAAAACAGTTTGGCAGTTTCTTATAAAATTAAACATACGCTCACTATATGACATGGATACCTCATTCTTTGCTATTTATCCAAATAGAATGGAAATTTATATTCACACAAAACCCAATAGGCTAATGTTTCTAGCAGCTCTATTCATAATTACCAAAAACTGTAGCCAACCCAAATCTCCTTCAATGAACAAACAACAAGAGATACATCCATACAATGAAATACCATTCAGCACTATAAAGGAACAAGCTGTTGATTGACTCAGCAGCTTGGCTGCATCTCAGTAGTATTAAGCTAAGTGTAAGAAGACAATTTCAAAAGGTCACATACTGTATGATTCCCTTTACCTTATAGTCTTGAAAAGAGAAGACTACAGTAATAGAGAATAGATCAGTAATTGTTAGGATTGGGGTGAATGAGAGTTGTGACTGAAGGGATAGAATGAGAGAGTTTTTTAGATGACCAAATGGTTCTGTATCCTAATTGTGGTGCTGGTTACACAAATGAATATTTGCTAAATTTATAGAATTGCACACACACACACGTCAACTTTCCTATGTGATAATTTTAAAAAACTTAATTAAAAATTTAAAAAATTATTTTCTGGTGGATTTCAGCAGTTCACAATCTTAATAATGAAGCTATGGGTATTACAACTTTATTGTAATATTACCAATATGCATATATCCTCATAAATGATGTCTTTGCTTTTTTTTTTTTAAATGCTGACAGGCTAAGATTAACTTTGGTGAAAACTCAGCAAGAAAATTGGAATAAAATCAGAAAACCCATTACAGAGGAAGTAATCCAAATATGTAATTTAAAGCAAAATATTATTGAGAGGTATAATTCCAACTGCTCTTTAAAGAGATTGGACTATGCTAAAGTAAAGCACTCACTTGTCATCCAAGTTAAGGTGAATTTGGATATTTTGGTTGGAAGAGAGATTTGGAGTGCTTAAATATTCTGCATCACACAAAAAAGAATGTTTTAAAATGTTGAGGAGAGACAACATAGGGAGCCTGAACTTCTATGTCTTCTTCACTCAGCAGTAATGAGGTGTGCTGCTCCTTCCCTGCTGGGGTGGTGTCAGAGGAGGCCAAGTTGAGTGTCAGGACTTATACTACCTGCCAGTAGCAATAAGACCATCCCCCTCATAGTGTCCGTGGAAGTCAGTGGAGGTCACACAGGAGTGGTAACAAGGCACACCTATCCCTCCGAGCCAGGATGGTTTAAGTGGAAGCCTAGTGAGAAACTTTAATTCCCATCCTCACCCATCAGTAATAAGGAGATTGACCTCCCTTTAGGTGTCAGTGGAAGCCAAGTGGTGAACCTGGATTTTTGTCCCTACTTCACATTAATGAGGTGGCACATCTTCTGCAACAGCAGTGTCAGAGAAAGCCAGCTAAGGCAGAATATTTTTAAAAAGATCCAAAGTCTCATAACATAATACAAAATATCTATGTTTCAATAGATAATCATGAATCTTATCAAGAACCAGGAATATCTCAAACTGAATGATAAAAGGCAATCAACAGATGCCAATATCAAGATGATACAAATGTTAGAATTAGCTGAGAGATTTTAAAGCAGCCATCCATAAAAATGCTTCATGAGCAATTATGAACATGCTTAAAACAAAGAATAGAAGATCTTAGCAGATAAATAGAAATTCTCAGCAAAAAAAAGAAGATATAAATTAGAACTAGATGAAAATTTCAGAATTGAAAAAAAAAATCAATGTATGTACTCAACACTAGACAGGAGGGGACAGAGGAAAGAATCAATGAATTGGATGATTAAAAAATAGAAACTATCCAGTCTGAAAAACAGATGAAATAGACGGAAAAGAATTGACAGAGCTTCAAGGACCTGGGAGGATATGACAAAGGAGCTATCATTTGTGTAACTGATTTCCTGGAACCAAAGGAGAAAGAGGACAGAGCTGAAAGAATTCAAATAATTCTTTCAAAGTATTCAAAGAATTAAAGGCCGAGAACTTCCCAAATTTGGCAAGAGACATAAAGCTACATATTCAAGGACTTGAGAGAACCTGAAACAAGATAAATTAAAACTAATTCACACCAAGATCCATCATAGTCCAACTTCTGAAAGCTATAGAAAAAGGAAAATTTTTGAAAGCAGTTAGAGAAACAACAAATTACCTACACCAAAACAAAACAAAACAAAACAAAACAAAAACAACCAACCAAACAAAAAGACTCAAATGGAGAGAATTTCTGATCAGAAACCATAAAGTTACAAGGAAACAATACCACATTTGTAAAGTACTGAACAAAACAACTCAGAATTCTATACCCAGCAAAAATACCCCTCAGGAATAAAAGGGAAAACAAGACATTCTCAGATAAAAGAAAATTAAGAATTTGTTGCCAGCAGACTTACCCTAAAAGAATGGCCAATAGAAGTTCTTTCTGAATGTCTATGTCCACTCCACCCAGCAGTAATGAGGGGCCCAGCTCCTCCCCTGCTGGGATGGGGTCAGAAGAGGCTGAGTTGCATGTCAGGACTTATATTGCCAGCCGGTAGTAATAAGACCACCCCACTTATAGGCTCAGTGGAAGTCACATAGGAGTGGCAACGAGACATACCTCTCCCTCCCAGACAGGAATGTTCTCTTAAAAAGGAAACAGTACCAGAAAGAAGCTTGAAATATCAGGGAGGAAGAAAGAAAATTGAATGTGAAAATAGAGGTAAATAAAATAGATTTTCCTTCTCTGGAGTTTTAAAAGTTATGTTTGGTTAAAATGAAAATTATATCTGTCAGTGCTATAAGGGTTGATGTGGTTTTAAATTTGTGTAGAGGAAATATTTAAGACAATTATGTTATAAAAGAAGGAGGATAAAGGGATATAAATGGAGGTAAGATTTCTACTCTTTACTCAAACTGGTAAACTGATGACACCTAGACTATGATGAATTTTGTATATATAATACTTACCACAACCACCAAAAATCTATACCAAAATCTACATCTAAAATGAAACAGAAAAATCAAAATGGAATTTGAAAATATGTCCATGTTACCCATAGTAAGGCATGAAAAAGAGAAACACAAAAAAACAGATAAAATAGAAAAGAAATAAAATAGCAGATTTAAGTCCTAGCATATTAATAATTACATAAAACATAAATGGTCTAGATATACCAAATCAAAACAGATTGCAGAGTGGATGTCATAACATGACCTAAATATATGCTGTCTAGTAGAAATTAACTTTAAATATAGGCAGGTAGAAAATAAACAAATGGGAAAGAATAATCATGCAAGTATTAATTAAAAGAAACCAGGATTGGGTATATTAATATGAGGTAAGGTAGGCTTCTGAGAAAAGAAAATGACCAGAGAAAGAGAGAGACATAATATGATGATAATCCTACAGCTAACTTTGTACTTAATGGTGAAAGACTGACTGCTTTATCTATAGGTTTGAAAATAAGGTAAATATGTCCACTTCCTTTTATTAACACAATGCTATAACTAGCCAGCACAATAAGGCAAAAAGAGGAAATAAAAAGCATCCTGATTGGAAAAAAAAAGAAATAAAATGTCTTTCTTTGCAGAAGACATAATTGTCTATGTAGAAATTCCAAGGAGTCTACAAAAATCTCTTAGAACTAATAAGTGAGTTCAGTCAGATCATAAAATATAAGATATACCTACAAAAATCTATTGCATTTCTATATACTAGTAATGAACACGCAGGCACTGAAATTAGTAGCAAAAAGCCATTTACAACTGGAAAAAAAGTGAAATAGCAGTAAGTATAACAAAATATGTATAGGATTTGTATATTCAAAGCTATAAATGCTGATAAAAAAATCAAAGATCAAAGTAAGTGAAGAGATATATGTGTTTATGGATTGGAAGACTCATATAGTGAATACATTACTTCTTCCTAAATTGATATATAGAAATAATGTAATTTCTATCAATATCTCAGAATTTTTTTGTAGATATAGAAAAGATTATTCTAAAATTTATGTGGAAAAGCTAAGGAACTAGAATAGTTAAAATAATATAGGAAAGAAAGAGTAAAGTGAAGAAATAAGTCTACCAAATTTTAAGGCTTATTATATATTTATAATAATAAAGATTGTTAAGTATTGGTAGAAAGATAGATAAACAGATCAATAGGACAGAATAGAGAAACTAAAATAGTCACAAATATGTCCTACTTATTTTTTAGAGAGATTACGAAGTAATTTGATGGAGAAAGATAGCCTGTTCAACAATTAATGATGCTAGAGCACTTAGAGATTCACGGGCAAAAATAATAATAATAATAAACTTCAACCTAAGTCTCATATCTTATATAAAAATTAAGTCAAAGTAGACTACTCACATAAATATAGGCAGGATTCTTTAAACTAAAATTATGATCCATGAAAAATATGATAAATTGGGTTTCATTAAAATTTAAAACGTCATCAAAATTTAAAATGTTTGACAGCTTATTACTTATAATACTGAATAGGATTCCATTGTGTGGGTGTTCAACAGATTATTTACCTTCTCACTTATTGAATGACTTCTTGGTTGACTCCAATTTTTACAGACTATGAAGAAAGCTGCTATAAACTTTTGTATGCAGATTTCTTTGTGGACAAAAGTTTTTCATCATTTAGATAAACACCTAGCAGTGTGGTTGCTGGATCATAGGGCAAGAATATGTTTATCTTTGTGTAAAACTGTCCAACTCTCTTCCAAAGTAGCTATACCATGTTGCATCCCAACCCTTAATGATTGAGAGTTCCTACTGTACCACATCTTCACCAGCAATTGGAGTTGTCAGTGTTTTAAATTTTAGCCATTCTAATAACTACGTGGTGGTATTTCATTGTTATTTTAATTTTCATTTTCCTAATAAGAAATGATGAACATTTATTCATGTGCTTATTTGCTATCTATAGATTTTTGATGATGTTGCTATTCAGTTATTTGGCTGATTTTTAAATTGGGTTACTTGTTTTGTTATTGTTGAGTTGTAAGAGTTCTTTGTACATTTTGGATACAAGTTCAATTTCAGTAGCTTTCAGTTCTCTAACTTTGTTCTGTCCAGTATTGTGTTGGCTATTCTAGATGCTTTATCTTTCCATAAAAGCTTTAGAAGCAGTTTGTCAATATTTACAAAATACCTTGCTGAGATTTTGATTAGAATTGTGTGAATCTGTAAATCTGTTGAGAAAAGATGCTATCTTTTTTTTTTTTTTAATTATACTTTAAGTTTTAGGGTACATGTGCACATTGTGCAGGTTAGTTACATATGTATACATGTGCCATGCTGGTGCGCTGCACCCACTAACTCGTCATCTAGCATTAGGTATATCTCCCAGTGCTATCCCTCCCCCCTCCCCCTCCCCCACAACAAGCCCCAGAGTGTGATGTTCCCCTTCCTGTGTCCATGTGTTCTCATTGTTCAATTCCCACCTATGAGTGAGAATATGCGGTGTTTGGTTTTTTGTTCTTGTGATAGTTTACTGAGAATGATGATTTCCAATTTCATCCTTGTCCCTACAAAGGACATGAACTCATCATTTTTTATGGCTGCATAGTACTCCATGGTGTATATGTGCCACATTTTCTTAATCCAGTCTATCATTGTTGGACATTTGGGTTGGTTCCAAGTCTTTGCTATTGTGAATAATGCCTCAATAAACATATGTGTGCATGTGTCTTTATAGCAGCATGATTTATAGTCCTTTGGGTATATACCCAGTAATGGGATGGCTGGGTCAAATGGTATTTCTAGTTCTAGATCCCTGAGGAATCGCCACACTGACTTCCACAATGGTTGAACTAGTTTACAGTCCCACCAACAGTGTAAAAGTGTTCCTATTTCTCCACATCCTCTCCAGCACCTGTTGTTTCCTGACTTTTTAATGATTGCCATTCTAACTGGTGTGAGATGGTATCTCATTGTGGTTTTGATTTGCATTTCTCTGATGGCCAGTGATAATGAGCATTTTTTCATGTATTTTTTGGCTGCATAAATGTCTTCTTTTGAGAAGTGTCTGTTCATGTCCTTTGCCCACTTTTTGATGGGGTTGTTTGTTTTTTTCTTGTAAATTTGTTTGAGTTCATTATAGATTCTGGATATTAGACCTTTGTCAGATGAGTAGGATGCGAAAATTTTCTCCCATGTTGTAGGTTGCCTGTTCACTCTGATGGTAGTTTCTTTTGCTGTGCAGAAGCTCTTTAGTTTAATTAGATCCCATTTGTCAATTTTGGCTTTTGTTGCCATTGCTTTTGGTGTTTTGGACATGAAGTCCTTGCCCATCCCTATGTCCTGAATGGTAAAGCCTAGGTTTTCTTCAAGGGTTTTTATGGTTTTAGGTCTAACGTTTAAGTCTTTAATCCATCTTGAATTGATTTTTGTATAAGGTGTAAGGAAGGGATCCAGTTTCAGCTTTCTACATATGGCTAGCCAGTTCTCCCAGCACCACTTATTAAATAGGGAATCCTTTCCCCATTGCTTGTTTTTCTTAGGTTTGTCAAAGATCAGATAGTTGTAGATATGCGGCGTTATTTGTGAGGGCTCTGTTCTGTTCCATTGGTCTATATCTCTGTTTTGGTACCAGTACCATGCTGTTTTGGTTACTGTAGCCTTGTAGCATAGTTTGAAGTCAAGTAGTGTGATGCCTCCAGCTTTGTTCTTTTGGCTTAGGATCGACTTGGCGATGCGGGCTCTTTTTTGGTTCCATATGAACTTTAAAGTAGTTTTTTCCAATTCTGTGAAGAAAGTCATTGGTAGCTTGATGGGGATGGCATTGAATCTGTAAATTACCTTGGGCAGTATGGCCATTTTCGCGATATTGATTCTTCCTACCCATGAGCATGGAATGTTCTTCCATTTGTTTGTATCCTCTTTTATTTCCTTGAGCAGTGGTTTGTAGTTCTCCTTGAAGAGGTCCTTCACATCCCTTGTAAGTTTGATTCCTAGGTATTTTATTCTCTTTGAAGCAATTGTGAATGGGAGTTCACTCATGATTTGGCTCTCTGTTTGTCTGTTGTTGGTGTATAGGAATGCTTGTGATTTTTGCACATTGATTTTGTATCCTGAGACTTTGCTGAAGTTGCTTATCAGCTTAAGGAGATTTTGGGCTGAGACAATGGGGTTTTCTAGATATACAATCATGTCATCTGCAAACAGGGACAATTTGACTTCCTCTTTTCCTAATTGAATACCCTTTATTTCCTTCTCCTGCCTAATTGCCCTGGCCAGAACTTCCAACACTATGTTGAATAGGAGTGGTGAGAGAGGGCATCCCTGTCTTGTGCCAGTTTTCAAAGGGAATGCCTCCAGTTTTTGCCCATTCAGTATGATATTGGCTGTGGGTTTGTCATAGATAGCTCTTATTATTTTGAAATACGTCCCATCAATACCTAATTTATTGAGAGTTTTTAGCATGAAGGGTTGTTGAATTTTGTCAAAGGCTTTTTCTGCATCTATTGAGATAATCATGTGGTTTTTGTCTTTGGCTCTGTTTATGTGCTGGATTACATTTATTGATTTGTGTATATTGAACCAGCCTTGCATCCCAGGGATGAAGCCCACTTGATCATGGTGGATAAGCTTTTTGATGTGCTGCTGGATTCGTTTTGGCAGAATTTTATTGAAGATTTTTGCATCAATGTTCATCAAGGATATTGGTCTAAAATTCTCTTTTTTGGTTGTGTCTCTGCCATGCTTTGGTGTCAGAATGATGCTGGCCTCACAAAATGAGTTAGGGAGGATTCCCTCTTTTTCTATTGATTGGAATAGTTTCAGAAGGAATGGTACCAGTTCCTCCTTGTACCTCTGGTAGAATTCGGCTGTGAATCCATCTGGTCCTGGACTCTTTTTGATTGGTAAACTATTGATTATTGCCACAATTTCAGAGCCTGCTATTGGTCTATTCAGAGATTCAACTTCTTCCTGGTTTAGTCTTGGGAGAGTGTATGTGTCGAGGAGTTTATCCATTTCTTCTAGATTTTCTAGTTTATTTGCATAGAGGTGTTTGTAGTATTCTCTGATGGTAGTTTGTATTTCTGTGGGATCGGTGGTGATATCCCCTTGATCATTTTTTATTGTGTCTATTTGATTCTTCTTTTTTTCTTTATTAGTCTTGCTAGTGGTCTATCAATTTTGTTGATCCTTTCAAAAAACCAGCTCCTAGATTCATTAATTTTTTGAAGGGTTTTTTGTGTCTCTATTTCCTTCAGTTCTGCTCTGATTTTAGTTATTTCTTGCCTTCTGCTAGCTTTTGAATGTGTTTGCTCTTGCTTTTCTAGTTCTTTTAATTGTGATGTTAGGGTGTCAATTGTGGATCTTTCCTGCTTTCTCTTGTGGGCATTTAGTGCTATAAATTTCCCTCTACACACTGCTTTGAATGTGTCCCAGAGATTCTGGTATGTTGTGTCTTTGTTCTCATTGGTTTCAAAGAACATCTTTATTTCTGCCTTCATTTCGTTATGTATCCAGTAGTCATTCAGGAGCAGGTTGTTCAGTTTCCATGTAGTTGAGTGGTTTTGAGTGAGATTCTTAATCCTGAGTTCTAGTTTGATTGCACTGTGGTCTGAGAGATAGTTTGTTATAATCTGTGTTCTTTTACATTTACTGAGGAGAGCTTTACTTCCAACTATGTGGTCAATTTTGGAATAGGTGTGGTGTGGTGCTGAAAAAAATGTATATTCTGTTGATTTGGGGTGGAGAGTTCTGTAGATGTCTATTAGGTCCGCTTGGTGCAGAGCTGAGATCAATTCCTGGGTATTCTTGTTGACTTTCTGTCTCGTTGATCTGTCTAATGTTGACAGTGAGGTGTTAAAGTCTCCCATTATTAATGTGTGGGAGTCTAAGTCTCTTTGTAGGTCACTGAGGACTTGCTTTATGAATCTGGGTGCTCCTGTATTGGGTGCATATATATTTAGGATAGTTAGCTCTTCTTGTTGAATTGATCCCTTTACCATTATGTAATGGCCTTCTTTTTCTCTTTTGATCTTTGTTGGTTTAATGTCTGTTTTATCAGAGACTAGGATTGCAACCCCTGCCTTTTTTTGTTTTCCATTTTCTTGGTAGATCTTCCTCCATCCTTTTATTTTGAGCCTATGTGTGTCTCTGCAGGTGAGATGGGTTTCCTGAATACAGCACACTGATGGGTCTTGACTCTTTATCCAATTTGCCAGTCTGTGTCTTTTAATTGGAGCATTTAGTCCATTTACATTTAAAGTTAATATTGTTATGTGTGAATTTGATCCAGTCATTATGATGTTAGCTGGCTATTTTGCTCGTTAGTTGATGCAGTTTCTTCCTAGTCTCGATGATCTTTATATTTTGGCATGATTTTGCAGCGGCTGGTACCGGTTGTTCCTTTCCATGTTTAGCGCTTCCTTCAGGAGATCTTTTAGGGCAGGCCTGGTGGTGACAAAATCTCTCAACATTTGCTTGTCTGTAAAGTATTTTATTTCTCCTTCACTTATGAAGCTTAGTTTGGCTGGATATGAAATTCTGGGTTGAAAATTCTTTTCTTTAAGAATGTTGAATATTGGCCCCCACTCTCTTCTGGCTTGTAGGGTTTCTGCAGAGAGATCCGCTGTTAGTCTGATGGGCTTCCCTTTGAGGGTAACCCGACCTTTCTCTCTGGCTGCCCTTAACATTTTTTCCTTCATTTCAACTTTGGTGAATCTCACAATTATGTGTCTTGGAGTTCTTCTCGAGGAGTATCTCTGTGGTGTTCTCTGTATTTCCTGAATCTGAACGTTGGCCTGCCTTGCTAGATTGGGGAAGTTCTCCTGGATAATATCCTGCAGAGTGTTTTTCAACTTGGTTCCATTCTCCCCATCACTTTCAGGTACACCAATCAGACGTAGATTTGGTCTTTTCACATAGTCCCATATTTCTTGGAGGCTTTGCTCATTTCTTTTTATTCTTTTTTCTCTAAACTTCCCTTCTTGCTTCATTTCATTTATTTCATCTTCCATTGCTGATACCCTCTCTTCCACTTGATCGCATCGGCTCCTGAGGCTTCTGCATTCTTCACGTAGTTCTCGAGCCTTGGTTTTCAGCTCCATCAACTCCTTTAAGCACTTCTCTGTATTGGTTATTCTAGCTACACATTCTTCTAAATTTTTTTCAAAGTTTTCAACTTCTTTGCCTTTGGTTTGAATGTCCTCCCGTAACTCAGAGTAATTTGATCGTCTGAAGCCTTCTTCTCTCAGCTCATCAAAGTCATTCTCCATCCAGCTTTGTTCCGTTGCTGGTGAGGAACTGTGTTCCTTTGGAGGAGGAGAGGCGCTCTGCGTTTTAGAGTTTCCAGTTTTTCTGTTCTGTTTTTTCCCCATCTTTGTGGTTTTATCTACTTTTGGTCTTTGATGATGGTGATGTACAGATGGGTTTTTGGTGTGGATGTCCTTTCCGTTTGTTAGTTTTCCTTCTAACAGACAGGACCCTCAGCTGCAGTTCTGTTGGAATACCCTGCCTTGTGAGGTGTCAGTGTGCCCTGCTGGGGGTGCCTCCCAGTTAGGCTGCTTGGGGGTCAGGGGTCAGGGACCCACTTGAGGAGGCAGTCTGCCTGTTCTCAGATCTCCAGCTGCATGCTGGGAGAACCACTGCTCTCTTCAAAGCTGTCAGACAGGGACATTTAAGTCTGCAGAGGTTACTGCTGTCTTTTTGTTTGTCTGTGCCCTGCCCCCAGAGGTGGAGCCTACAGAGGCAGGCAGGCCTCCTTGAGCTGTGGTGGGCTCTACCCAGTTCGAGCTTCCTGGCTGCTTTGTTTACCTAAGCAAGCCTGGACAATGGTGGGCGCCCCTCCCCCAGCCTCGCTGCCGCCTTGCAGTTTGATCTCAGACTGCTGTGCTAGCAATCAGCGAGACTCCATGGGCGTAGGACCCTCCGAGCCAGGTGCGGGATATAATCTCGTGGTGTGCAGTTTTTTAAGCCGGTCCGAAAAGCACAATATTCGGGTGGGAGTGACCCGATTTTCCAGGTGCGTCCGTCACCCCTTTCTTTGACTCGGAAAGGGAGCTCCCTGACCCCTTGCGCTTCCCAAGTGAGGCAATGCCTCGCCCTGCTTCGGCTCGCGCACGGTGCGCGCACTCACTGACCCACGCCCACTGTCTGGCACTCCCTAGTGAGATGAACCCAGTACCTCAGATGGAAATGCAGAAATCACCCGTCTTCTGCGTCGCTCACGCTGGGAGCTGTAGACCAGAGCTGTTCCTATTCAGCCATCTTGGCTCCTCCTCCAAAAGATGCTATCTTAACAATATTGACTATTTCAATCCAAGAACATGAAATATCTCAATTTATTTAGATAATCTTTGATTTTTCTATTCAGTGTTATGTAGTTTTCTATATCAAAATTCTACACTCTTGTTTAGATTTATGTTTATTTTATTATTTGTGGTATTTACTTCTAATTTCATTTTTTCATTACTGGTGCATAGAAAAACAATTGACTTTTGTATAGTGACCTTGTATTCTATTACATTACCATACTCATTAGTCCTGGAAGCTTTGTTTGTAGGTTCTTTGGGGTTTATTCAATAATGGCAATTGTTAATAAAGACAACACTAATTCTTTCTTCCAATCTATATACCTTTTATTTCTTTTTCTTGTCTTATTGCAGAAACCAGGACTTCTGGTAAGATGTTGAATAGAAGTGCTGAGAGGAAACATCCTTGTCTTGCTCTTGATCTTAGGGGGAAAGAATTCAGTTTCTCACCTTAAGTATAACGTTAGTTGTGGGTTTAAAAAATATTCTTTATCAAGTTGATAAAGTTCTTCTTTATTCCTAATTTGCTGAGAATTTTACTTTTTCTAAATCAGAAGTCAGCATTGGCTTTTGTCAGATGATTTTCCTGCACCAACTGACATAAACATATGATTTTTCTTCTTTATCATGTTGATTTGGTGGATTACATTGATTGGCTTTTGAATCTTGAACTAGCCTTGAAAACATGAAATAAACGACATTTAGTCATGGTGTATACTTTATCTTATATATTGTTGTATTTGATTTACTCATATTTTGTCAAAATTTTTACCTTAACATTCATTAGATATATTGTCTATGTTTTTAAAAAATATGTCTGTTTGATTTTGGTATGAAGGTAATAGTGACTTCATGGAATTACTCAAAAAACATTTTCTCTGCCTCCACTTTCTAGAAGAGACTGTGGAAAATTGGCATTATTTATTACTTAATTATTTGGTAGAATTCACCAGTAAAACCATCTGGGCCTGTTACTTTAATTTTTTGAAAGGCTAATTATTATTAAATTATTTTTTTAATACATATAAGGCTATTCAGTTTCTTTATTTCTCCTTGTGTGAGTTGTGGTACATTGTATCTTTCAAGGAATTGACCTATTTCATTTAAGTTGTTATCAAATTTCTGGGCATAGAGTTTTTCCTATTTCCTTATAATCTTCTTAATATCAGTGGGTCAGTAGTTATGGCCCCTTTTTCATTTAGGGTATTGCTAATTTGTGTGTTCTTTTATTTTTCTTCTTTCTCTTTCAAGAGGTTTATAAATTTTACTGATCTTTCCAAAGAATCAGCTTTAAACTTTGCTGATAGTCAATATCAAATGTTTTTCTACTTTCAATTTTATTGATTTCTGCTGATATTTATTTTTCTTCTGCTTGCTTTGTTTTTCTTTCCCTAGTTTCTTATGACAAGGCTTATGTTATTGATGCCAAATATTTCTTCTTTTCTATTGTATGCATTTAATGATTTAAATTTGCCTTCAAATATTACTATGTCTGCATGTCAAAAATGATAAGTTGTATTTCCATTTTCTTTCAGCTCAAAATATATTTTAAAAATTTCTCTTCAGACTTCTTCTTTGACCAATGTGTTATATAGAAATTTTCACATATGCTGGGATTTTCCAGCTATCCTCTGTTCTTGATTTCTGGTTTTAACTTCACTGTGATCTGATAACATACGTTGTATAATTTCTATTTTTAAAAATTGGTAAATGTGTGGTTTATGCTCCAGAATGTCTATCTTGGTGAATGTTTCATGTGAGCTTGAGAAGAATGTATATTCCATTGTCATTGGGTGGAGTATTCTATAAATATCAATTAGAGAAAGTGGTTGATAGTTCTGTTTAGTTCCTCTATATTCTTTCTGATATTCTGTGTTCTTAAACAATTACTGATGAAAGGGCATTTAAGTATTCACCTATAATAGATTTGGTGCTTTACCTTTTCAGTTCTAAAAGTTTTTGACTCATGTATTTTGATGTCTTTTTGCTCCAAACATACACATTTATATATTTTTTATCTTGTAGAATCAATATTTTTATCGTTATGTTATACCCTTTTTTATACTTCATAATCTTCCCAGTTCAGAATTTAGCTTTGTCTGAAATTAATATAATTGCTGCAACTTTCTTTGGATTAGTGTTAGCATGGTATATCTTTCTCCATTTCTTTATTTTTAAGCTGTGTACATGGGTTTTTATTCAGATAGAAACTATAAACAACCTATAAATGAATCCTGTGTGCCTCAACAGTCTTTTAATTAAATGTATTTGGACCATTCATATTTAAACAACCTTTAAATGAGTCTTGTTTTTTATAACCTTGACAGTCTGTCTTTTAATTGAAGCAACTGTTTTCTATTTATTGCATTTGTTCTTTGTTTGCTTTCTTCTTTTTTGTATTCTGTGGCTTATAACTCCATATTGTCTCTTAGCATACCAGTTTTTGTTCTTTTTTTTTTTTTTCCAGTGTTTGTGTCCCTGGGTACTTGAGATTAGGGAGTGGTGATGACTCTTAAGGAGCATGCTGCCTTCAAGCATCTGTTTAACAAAGCACATCTTGCACCGCCCTAAATCCATTTAACCCTGAGTGGACACAGCACATGTTTCAGAGAGCACCGGGTTGGGGGTAAGGTCATAGATCAACAGCATCCCAAGGCAGAAGAATTCTTCTTAGTACAGAACAAAATGGAGTCTCCTATGTCTACTTCTTTCTACACAGACACAGCAACAATCTGACTTCTCTATCTTTTCCCCACATTTCCCCCTTTTCTATTAGACAAAACCACCATCGTCATCATGGCTCGTTCTCAATGAGCTGTTGGGTACACCTCCCAGATGGGGTGGCAGCCGGGCAGAGGGGCTCCTCACTTCCCACAAGGGGCGGCTGGGCAGAGGCGCCCCCCACCTCCCGGACAGGGCAGTGGCTGGGCGGGGGCTGCCCCCCACCTCCCGGACGGGGCGGCTGCTGGGCGGAGACGCTCCTCACTTCCCAGACGGGGTGGCTGCCGGGCAGAGGGGCTCCTCACTTCTCAGACGGGGCGGCTGGGCAGAGACGCTCCTCACCTCCCAGACGGGGTCGTGGCTGGGCAGAGGCACTCCTCACATCCCAGACAGGGCGGCGGGGCAGAGGCGCTCCCCACATCTCAGACAATGGGTGGCCAGGCAGAGATGCTCCTCACTTCCTAGATGGGATGGCAGCCGGGAAGAGGCACTCTTCACTTCCCAGACTGGGCACCGGGCAGAGGGGCTCCTCACATCCCAGACGATGGGTGGCCAGGCAGAGACGCTCCTCACTTCCCAGACGGGGTGGCGGCCGGGCAGAGGCTGCAATCTCAGCACTTTGGGAGGCCAAGGCAGGCGGCTGGGAGGTGGAGGTTGTAGCGAGCCGAGATCACGCCACTGCACTCCAGCCTGGGCAACATTGAGCACTGAGTGAAGGAGACTCCGTCTGCAGTCTGCAATCCCGGCACCTCGGGAGGCCGAGGCTGGCAGATCACTCACGGTTAGGAGCTGGAGACCAGCCCAGCCAACACAGCAAAACCCCATCTCCACCAAAAAAAATACGAAAACCAGTCAGGCGTGGCGGCGCGCACCTGCAATCGCAGGCACTCGGCAGGCTGAGGCAGGAGAATCAGGCAGGGAGGTTGCAGTGAGCGGAGATGGCAGAAGTACAGTCCAGCTTCGGCTCGGCATCAGAGGGAGACCATGGAAAGAGAGGGAGAGGGAGACAGTGGGCAGAGGGAGACTGTGGGTAGAGGGAGAGGGAGAGGGAGCCAGTTTTCATTCTTTAAAAATTATAATAGTTATCCTGGAGTATACAATATACATTTTAAGCTAATCTAAGTTCACTTTCAAAAAACACTCTGCCTTCACATGTAGTGTAGATATCTTATAATAGTGATTATTCCCAATTCTTCCCAGCTACTTTTTGTTTATTTTATTTATTTATTTATTCCACTAACCAAGTACATTGCTACTATTATTGCTTTAAAGAAGCACACACACCCCTTAACCTAAAATAAAAGTTTTAAAAAAAACTAGTATTTTTAGTTCAGCTAAGAATAATCTACTTTCTTCCTTTTTTATGTTGATTCAAGTTTCTGACCTATATAATTTTTTCTTCATAAATATGTTATTTTAGCATTTCTTGAATGGCAAGTCTTTTGGCATTAAGTTCATTTAGTTTTGCTTGTCTGATAAAGTCTTTGTTTCTCTTTTATTTTTGAAGAATAGTTTTGCTCTCCATTCTAGGTGGCTGTGTTTTTTATTTTAACACTTTAAACATTTTACTCCACCTTCTTGTTTGCAGGGGTTTCTGATAAGGAGTCTGCATTAATTCTTATTCTCACTCCTCTGTAGTTAAGATAATTATTTCCCTCTGGCTTATTTAAAGATTTTCTCTGTCCTTGATTTTCTGAGCCTGGAATATAATATGACTCATTTGCTTAAGTGGAGTTTTTGTTTGTTTGTTTGCTTATTTTTTCATAGGAGCATTTGGTTTACCTTGCTTGGTGTTCTCTAAGATTTCTGGATCTGTGGTGTCATGCCTGTCATTAATTTTGGAAGGTTCTTAGTCATTATTATTTCAATTTTTTTATTACATTCTTTTGTTCTTCTCTTCCTGTTATTCTTATTCCGTATGTTATGCCTTTTGATATTTTCCCCCAGTTATTTGATGTTCTGTTTTATTTTCTTCTCTTTTTTTTTACTTCTTGCATTTTAGTTTGTGAAGTTTCTATTGAAAAATTTCCAAGCTCATTTACTCTCTCCTTGGTCATGTTGAATGTAATAATGAGTCCATGGAAGGCATTCTTTATTTCTCTCACTTTGTTTTTGATTTCTAGCATTTCTTTATTATTCTTTCTTAGGTTTTCTCTCTACTTACATTACCCATCTTTCTTGCATGTTGTCTACTTTTTCCTTTAGAGCCCTTATCATGTATTTTAGATCTTCATAGTTATTAAAATTCTCTGACTGATAATTCCAATATCTGTGACATATCTGAATCTGGTTTGATGCTTGACTTCTGTATTCAGATTCTGTTTTTTTCTTTTCAGCATACCTTATAATTTTTGTTGTTGTTGAAAGCTGTACATGTTGTATTAGGTAATAGAAAGTAACATAAATAGGCCTTTAATGCAAGAATTTATGCTAATCTGGTCAGAGACTTCAAATTCCTCTACTGTCCTTGTTTTTGTCTCTCCTTTTGACTTTGGGTTCCCATAAGTACTCTTCCTCAAAAAGTCTGCATCTGACACTCTCTCAGCTGTAATCCACTGCTATTATACTGGAGCCCTGTTGGTATGGTGGTAATTTAGGGTGGAGGAAGTTTTCTATTATCTACTAATTAGTTCTCAGTCTTTTAGTTGGCCCATGTCTCAAAGCTGTGACCATCACATGATTTTCTCCTTTAGTATATTTTCCCCAGTTCATCTCCTTTCCCTGCCTGCAGAATTGCCCATCTGTTCATTTGAAGTCCTGACCCGTGTTGACAATTTTTCCTTCTTAGTTGAGATGGAAAGGGTAAAGGTGACTGGATAGAAAGGATTCCTTCCCCTGACCTAAGACTCTAGCAAAGTTAGTTTTCTATGAAATACAGGCCTTTGTTATGGAGAAGGATGTGAGTGTATTTCACAATGATTAATTTTCCCTTCCCCCTGCCAGAGCCAAGAGGAGATCCTTTTTGAATCTTCACCATGAGAATCTGGTGAGGTTCCTGTATGCAAAATCCATGAAAGTGTGGGAGCTCCTATAAGACTGTGACCCCTAGGAATTTCTCACTGTCGAGCTAGTCCATACTCAGCTCCCAGCAGTTCATCAAAATTGCCATTCGAGTACTCTAGTTTATGGCTCCAGTGCCTCCTGAAAGGAGGCAGATCTCAGCTGTGTCTTAGCTGTAATATCTCCTCAGATATCCAGGTGGCAACTTGATTTGCAACCTCAGTTCTCTAATGGGTCCAAAAAAGTTATTGGCTTTTAGTTTGTCCAGCTTTTTCTGATTCTAAGGATGGAATGACAACTTCTAAACTCCTTTTGCTCTGATTAAACCTTAAAAAGACGTTGTACAGATTGAACACTAACAGTAGCATCCATTCATTCCTAGTTTGGTTAGAAATAAGAAACTTAGCTAAAATTGCCCAGTAACAGAAAGCCTAGAGTCTAAATTGTTCTGTGGGATAAACATTCTAAATCAAGAAATCAACAAATCGAATGAAAGACTAGAGAAATAAATTTGAAAAATATTTCCATTGTTTTCCTTCCTTCCCCCATTTCATCTTATATTTTACTTTCATCCTAAAGGCCTTTCCTCTCCCCACCTCCTATCTCCAGTCCACAGAATTAAACTCTGGTCACTCAGTTCCTCAATTCCTTTGAAAAAATTGAGATAATTAAAAAGCTCGAGAAACAAAAGTGAAAAATTCTTGACTTTTAAGTTCCAAAAGGTATACAATAGAAATATTTGCATGCACACTTGGAGAGCAGATTTTTTAATTTCTTAAACTAGATATAGCTTTGGGCTGGTCAAATTCAAAGGAAGGAACCACACAGGAGTGAAATTAGCAGTGAAACACTTAACAGTCTTGTCTGAACAATGCAGGAAACTTTCTGAGAGTTTAGAACCAAGATGCGATGTCCATCTTGTTGCAGTTTAGTGAGGTTTGTTGACAGCAATCAGCTGGAAGTTTATTGATCATCGAGAAGTGGCTTAGCAATTCTCCCACCCAAAATACCTTTGTGGATAGTCCCTCATGAAAGAGCAAAGAAAAAAGATAAAAGCCTCTAGAATAGAAGAAGAAGAAGAGGTAGAAATAGTACAAGAGAAGAAGGGAACATTAGAGAGAAATTGGGGGTACAGTGGGGGGTAAAAAAGTAAGCCCTTATATTTAGGCAAGTTGAGGCGATATGGAACCAGCTAGAAAACTCTCCTCTGAGCCACAATAATGCAACAACACAGCATGCCTGAGGGCATGCTTTGCTGTCATTTCCAACGAAGGCAGAAAATGTTTAAATACAGATGTGTTCGGTTATCAGGATGGAGGAATGCTGGAGCTAAACCTCAGTTGCTACACAGTAAATGAAAGGAACTTCTCTTAAGCAAAGAAGAATAGTGCAATAAGAAGGATTGGAGCAACTACCTGGGTTTAAGTAATTCTGACAATCACCAGCTATATGACTTTGACTACCTATTAGAGTTACCCATCTCTCCTCTGAGCCTTAGTTTCCTAACAGATAAAGTGCCGATGATATTATCTCTACAATACCACAGACATGTGGTGAGGGTCAAATGAAAATGCTTTATAAACTATATGCTGGTGCTGCTAACGTATTACATTAAGGGTCCACAGGCCATAAGAAGCTAGAGTAAGCTCATTTCCAGGGCAAGAGTGAAGGAGCTATTGAGGCTAGGGGTCCAGAAGCCAAATGAGGAAAAAATAAGATGGCTTATAGATGGCCAATGAGAAGACAGGAAGAAAGTCCAGACTCTGGTGGGAGCACAGCCTATTCTGAAGCTATTTTGAGGATCCTTGAAAGCCTCAAGAGTGACATCTAGAAACTGCAACATCCACTTCTAGTCTTTGATAAGAAAACTCTATCGCCAAAGAAAAATGCATACTCTTCCTGCATACTCTTTCTCTGTTTTCCCAACCCTATTGAATAGATCTTCCTATTTTCTTAATCTAATCTACTTTGTTTAAAGTATGAAAGTTTTCTCTTTTTTCTTTTTTTTTTTAATGTTTTATTTATTATTATTATACTTTAAGTTTTAGGGTACATGTGCACAATGTGCAGGTTAGTTACATATGTATACATGTGCCATGCTGGTGCACTGCACCCACCAACTCGTCATCTAGCATTAGGTATATCTCCCAATGCTATCCCTCCCCCCTCCCCCCACCCTACAACAGTCCCCAGAGTGTGATGTTCCCCTTCCTGTGTCCATGTGTTCTCATTGTTCTATTCCCACTGAAAGTTTTCTTTTAGTGAATACTGGGATCCCATGGTGAAAGTTTTCTTTTAGTGAATACTGGGATCCCATGGTGGACTTTGGTTAAGAGCCCATTTTTACCAGTCACTTCTCACAGCTACAGCATAAGGAATGGGAAGGCTTGAAGTCAGCAGACTGAATTCAAGCCTTAGCTCCCTCATTCATTAACTCTCTATTCCTGGTTGAGTTGCTTAAATGTTGTGACTCTCAATTTCAAGAGGTCTTTGTGGGTGAATCATTAACTTCTATCTCAGTTCAGTGGCCTTCAGGTTTATATTGTGTCTCCCTACCCCCACCCAGTACAAGTGCATAGGCTTTCCTTTGGGCTTACAGATGTCTCAGAGATATATGTCTGTAGATTGCTGGGGAGGAGGGAGTGTGTGTCCAACAGAAATATTGCAAAGGCATTTAACATATCCTAGCCTCAGTTCTACTAGGCAGTGAGTGAGTGAGGTACTCATGCTTTCTGAAGTCTTCGATGGCATCCACAGAAATAAGAGTTTAAAGTTTGAGTTGCTGGAAGTTTCCTTACATAAAAGAGTCCTGCACCACCATAAAGATCTCAAATCCCTCTATTGCATGATCTGTCCCTTTATTGCTAATGGTGTTTAGTGTGTGCTTGAAGAGAGGTGAGCTGGTTGACTGGCCAAGAACCTGTGTTTATTATTCTTTATTTATAATTTAAAAACATCAATTGGAACTAAAGCTTTCTTCCTTCTGTGCTCTAGTTTAACATTCATTAGTCTACCAAATATATATATATATATATATATATATATGTTATGTTAATATATATGCTACGTTAATATATATTATTTATATATATATATATCAGTCTGTCTGTCCACAGGCCAGACACTTGGCATAATTGACCACTTATTCCCAGCATCTGGCTCCAGATCTAACGCAACACAGTGTCTACTGAATTCTTGAATCTGTTTAAGTAAGGGTTAGGTTTGCTTGTGGAGCTCTAAATGCTTTTCTATGATTTGTTTTAATATTGGAGAAAATGGATACTCATGTTCCCTAAATTCTCAGCTGGTTCTGCATGAATAAGACTTTACAGCTTGTGCTGTGCTGGAGATGCTCTTCCTCATGAGTCCCCACTGGCTAGAGTAAGGGTACCAGGTGGCCCTTTTATATAGGACCTCTCTTGGAAAAGCCTTGGGGATGAGGTTTTGATTTATTTGGAATGTTTGAGGCCCCGGAGAATGTAAATTTTGCCTAGTTTGATTTCTCTAGTACATCACTATCTCCATTGTGAGTCGCCCTTGGGTGAGGATTTATTCTAGGAAAACAGAAAATGCCAGCCAACTGGTGCAAGTTCAAGTTCTGCCTTCACTCCTTTTTCTATCTCAATCTTATTATCTGTATAATGAGAGCCTTATCCTTGTCTCCCTTGAGATTGTTCTGAGGACCTAGTGAGATAATGGTTGGGAAATTGTCTTGTGGCAAGGGGCTACAGTGTGAAAGCAGTGATACAGAGCATGAATGATGACTAAAATAATTCCAAAAAAAGGGATTGTTGAAAACATTTGATTCCATAATGTCTGACTGTTAAGCTATTCTGTTCAAACAAGATTTCTGAAAAACCTGAGTGATAAATGTTCTAAAATTCCATGGTGATGAAATGTTCTGAGTGATGCCCAGCAGGAGCTACATAGCCTTTGGCCCCAGGAGATAGCACTACACACAGATCAAGGCAACCTTACTGTCCAGGTAACAGGCATTTATTTCACTGAACTTCAACGTGCAAAGTCCATTCTTAGCTTGATGAGATTTAGCTTTATATAGATCAGGAAAAAATATCCCGAGGCTTACATTTTTGTCATTAAATATTAAGCATACTTTGTTCATTTCTCCATCACATTGAATTACGGTGAGTTCTGCATAAACCCATCTCCCTTTCAAGACTGGAAACTATTTAAGGGATAGTACAGGGCTTATTTCAAGATTTTTTTATGTCTAGCATAGTATCTGGCACATAGTAAATACTTTATGAATGTTTATTGAATAACTGGTAAACATTTCATGAATGTTTACTGAATGCCTGTCAAAATCTTTACCAGCAATGTTTTGCTTTTTTCAGTTTTTTTTCTTGTCAGTTAACAACTTGTCTTAGTTACTTTTAGCCACCTTATGATGTTCTTAGAGAACTTTAGATATGGTTTTATTTTTGCCATTGACCTTGTTAATCCTGAAAAATGCCCTAGTAGTTCTATTATGGTCTGGAATGCAGATACATGTGTCCTTTGGATCTCGGCTGTTTTGTTTGTTTGTTCGTTCAAAGGCTTTTCTGATTAAAGAGTCCACACTTTCAGCCTAGTAGAAAGTGTGCCCTGAGACCATACTGCCACCAGGTCTGAGGCCCAGCCTAGTCACTGATTTGACAGCAAATCCTTATTCTTCCCTTGGTGCTCATCTGTATCTCAAACCCCAAATCTACATGACAGTCCTGGGACAGCCTCCACTCCATGTTCTCTATGACAGTCTGATTCAGCTTCATCTTAAGTACATAATTATTTCTGTGTATTCTCCCCAATACCTTAGTCACATTTTCTTTTTACTCATGAGCTTTTTGGCTTGCAGTCCAAAGTCTCCCTCCCCCTATATGGCTTTTTAGATATCTCAGGGGAGCTAAGTATGATAAAGATGTTAAGAATTCATATAGATGCTTCACAAACTGAATCCTAGTTCTCCTAAGTCCTGGGTAGTTCCCATATTTAAAAGTAAAAACTGTCCGGGTGCAGTGGTTCACGCCTGTAATCCCAGCACTTTGGGAGGCCAAGGTTGGTGGATCACCTGAGGTCAGGAGTTTGAGATCAGCCTGGGCAACATGGAGAAACCCTGTCTCTACTAAAAATACAAAAATTAGCCGGATGTGGTGACGCATGCCTGTAATCCCAGCTACTCAGGAGGCTGAGACAGGAGAATCACTTGAACCCAGGAGGCGGAGGTTGCAGAGAGCTGAGATTGTGCCACTGCACTCCGGCCTGGGCAACAGAGCAAGACTCTGTTTTTTTTAAAAAAAAGTTAAAGCTGAAATTCCTTAATTTGGCATATGAGGCCTTCAGAATATGACCCCAACCTACCCTTCTGGTTTTATCTCCTTCAATCCCCACCT
Organism: Homo sapiens; assembly: GCF_000001405.40. NCBI lineage: Eukaryota > Metazoa > Chordata > Mammalia > Primates > Hominidae > Homo > Homo sapiens. The sequence goes on along the minus strand of NW_025791759.1, from coordinate 193,640 downwards.
CTTCCATGTCCTGGAGTCAGCACAACTGAATCATTTTTCGTTACCTGATCAGTCCTTTTGCTTTCATACCTGTAGCTACATTGTTTCTTCTCTTTGGAATTCTTTCTTATCATTCAGACAATCTCTTGTGTTTTAAAAACAGTTTGCATCACAGGTCCCCTCCTCTTAAGACTTCCCTAACATCTCCAACAGTCTCTCTCTCTTCCCCTTTCCTTTTCTTTCTTTTTCTGAGTTCTTCTTTAATTGTGTGTAAACACCACTTACCATAAAGAACTGAAACCATACTGTCAAATGCTTGTTTTTACCACTAGGCTTGTAGCTTCCTGAAGCCAGACAAGAAAGCTTTTTTAATCTTTATTTCTCCAGGACCTAGCACAGAGGCTAGTTCATAGCTCTTGCCCATTATGTGTTTTCTGATTTAGCCAAATTTGAAAGGATCCAGGAGTATCTCAGATTATGCCCTCAAAACACTGTCATGATGACTGTAGAATTGCCAGCATCTCTAATTAAACTGTGTATGCTCACCATCTTTAATAAGCAGTTTTGCTAGAATCTGGGATAAATTAACACATCCAGGAGAGAACATCTATTTCTCCTGGGCTATCTAATCCTGAGGCCACTTTCCCTCCCCACACAGTAACTTATTACTTGACATGTCATAAACATACTCCAATAGGGAATCCAGTTTCAGAAGCCCTGGTGCTCTAGTATAGGAAGAAAGGGATTATAGGAAAAAGATTTTAAGTGTGTCTTGGATTCTATTTTCTCAAGGGGCTTTCTATTGCCTTCATTAGGTGGAGATTCACAAAGAAACCAAAAGGTCAGTAAAAAATTCTCAGCCCATACTACTTTCTGGCCTTTTATTTAGGCATATCTTATCCTTGTTTGTCTATTTATCCCCAAAAATAGGGATAACACTCCATCCAGTAACTTTATTTAAAGCTTCAGACTCCCAGTTGTATGAAACTGCTATTCCTCTTTTGCCTCTTATTTAAGGGGCAGGTCTCTAGGAGCCAAGTGTTTGTGAGTTTACACCTCATATTCCTGCCTAGTGTGGATGTTGACAGCCTCAGGAGAACTCTTCCTACATGGTCAGGAAAACTTCCCACCAACAGCCCTGCACAGAGCATCTTTGACCTCTTTATTTCTCAGGGTGTATACCACAGGGTTCAGTAGGGGAGTGATGACAGTGTAGGTCACCGAGATCAGCTGGTCATGTTCTCTGGTGTTCTCTGACTTGGGCTTGAGGTAGGCAATGGAGGCACAGCTGTAGTGGACAATGACCACAGTGAGGTGGGATGCACAGGTGGCAAAAGCCTTCTTCCGGCCCTCAACTGAAGCAATCTTGAGGATTGTAGAGATAATGAGAACATAAGAAATGAAAACCAGACCCATAGGTACAACAAGCACCAGCACACTGATAATCAAAGTCAGGATTTCATTGACAGTGGTGTCAATGCAGGAGAGCTTCATCACAGGGCGGATGTCACAGAAGAAGTGGGGCACCTTTCTAGCACAGAAGGGTAACCTGAATACAGATGTCACTTGCGTTATTGCTACAATCAGCCCAATGCTGCAGGCCCCCAGGACAAGTTGGATACGCAGCCTCTTGTTCATAATAACCATGTATCTCAGGGGGTTGCAGATGGCCACATAGCGGTCATATCCCATTGCTGTGAGCAGGAAGCAGTTAGTGATGCCAAAGGTTACAAAAAAGAACATCTGTGTGGCACACCCTGCCAATGATATGGGCTGGCTCATACCTACGAGGCTGGAGAGCATTCTTGGGAGAATGACCAATGTATATACAGTCTCTGAAGTGGACAGCATGCTCAGGAAGAAGTACATGGGTGTGTGAAGATGAAGATCCATTCGGATGATGGTCACAATGATGATATTGCCTGCTAAGGTTAAGATGTATAGTGCAAGGAACACGCCAAAAAGGGTGATCTGCTGCTCATGGAAGCTAGAGAAACCTTGGAAAACAAAGTCAGTGATGAGAGTAAAGTTCTCTCTTTTCATGGATTGGTTCCCAAATCTGAAACATAAAAGCATAAAAGTCACATAGTCCCAGTAAAGCAGTAGAAGCACATTTCTGAAATTGATTGAAGTTCAATAGTTCTCAGTTACAAATCTGGTGATGTATTTCCTAGTGGATTAAGTTAATCCCTGGGTTTACTTATCTTTACTTAAAATATTTTTACTCTGTGACCATCTGTTATAATTTTCCATGCATCATAGAATCATATAGTCTCACTTTTTCACTGTATAACCATACATGCTCCTACTTCATATCTACTCTTCCTCCCTGACATCTGGAATGGCTTCTCTTTTCTCCTCTTATTTCTTTCCTACTCTTCAGAGATGAGTGCACATTTTCAGGCCTTCATAAAACCGTATTACACTCAGAGGTTCTCATGTTTATTTGGATTATTTTTACCCCATTATTGCTGCCTCACCTCATACAAACACTTAGCAACTTTATAATACCTTTTACATCTTTTCATATTTCACTAGCTCCAAATTATGCATGGATTGGGTGCTTGAAAATAATTTGTTTAGGGATGGACTAGTGATGTCTTTTCTTTCAAGACTATGAATCATCCTCCTTGCGCATCCTTTAAGAATTAGAAGCAAAGTAGAAAGGTTCATCTTGTCTTCAAGAAGAAAAAGGAAAATCTTAGCCAACCACCAGCCTCTCCCCACTTCTGTCTGAGTGATGGAAGTCTGCTGACAGTTCAGAGCACTGATTCACGTATGTTATAAACTATGCTACATCTTTACCTTCCCTAAACTAGAAGGCAAATTTATAGCCAATACAACTTTGTGAGTAAGCCTACACCCACTCTGCAGAGATAAACAATTGTATCAGGAAAGATACAGCAAATTTAAGTGTCCCTCACCTAAAGCAAAAGCAAACCCTGAATATAAAAAAACAGCTACACCAAAGATACATCATTTTGTTGAAGGAAGGGGATCAGTTCAATTTATGTAATATTTCACATTTTTATCTCTTTAAACAGTAAGCTTCTCTAGGGTATTTAAATTATATTCTGATTTGCTTATGCATATTCAGAAAGAGAAGTTTTGCATAAAGTAAATCACATCAATGATGAAGGTTAGTACGCACGGAGACTTTCTTCAAGTTCATAAAAATCTATTTAAAAGAAGTTGATGACCAGCTGTTAATCATTTACACTAAGAATGCTAAAAAGAAAGTAAAGCTGCAATAGAGAATATTTTCCAATAAAGAAAATCATTTGATACTAAAATATATGTCTAAAGACATTTGTCTTCTGTGAGGCTTCTGAGCAAAAACTATGTAGTAGTCCAGCCACGGAGTGGTATGGTGCCTCTATGGTGAAATCAGAAATGCTTGGCAGAGCTTTTAACTGTTACAATAATGAGCACAGAAGCTCTTGGCCATTCACGATGTGAAATGTCCTGCAAAACTTGTGGTGATTCTGCCCAAGGAAGAATTCCCTTCTTCCAAATACCAATAAAGTTCCCATTGAGAAACACACGGCTAAAATATCATCTTATCTGGCTGAAACTTGTCTGTCTTGAGGTAGAAGAATGGCTATTATGATTTGGTTAGCATCCTCCCCACTCTTGGAAGTCTATAATTCTTCAAAGGAAATGGAAGGAAGAGCAAATATAGCTTATGAAGACCTGTCCAGCTGTGATAGGACCTGAAATACTACAATAAATTAAAGTCAGCTCATATGTAATGAGCCCCATTTCAGTCCTTCTTCTAAAGACCACTCACATGACTCTGCTTAGCACTGAGGCACAACGGGAAAGCTGGGCTGGAGGAGGCCGAGGAGTAAAGATTGAAATGTCAGGCTCCCTTGGCCACAATGGATAGGCATAGGGTGACCAAGGTGAGCAAGGTGACCAAGAGTGCCTACGGCAGGACCTGAGGCTGAGCAGGCAGGGCATAAACACACACTAGTAGGAATATAGTCAGGTTTGAGAGTCATAGGCATTCTTGATAACCCCTCTGTGTGGAAAAGTCTTTGAAGCCAGAGGAGATGCTCTCCCAGGATCAGGCAGCTGGGCTTCTGGGGGTCACTCCCTGAAGACATTCTGACAGCCACCCCCCTGGGGCTGGGAGGATGCAGGTATCAGGTACCTGGAGGTCTCATTATGTATAGGGCTCATTTACTCAATTCCAGGCTAGCGCTTGGGGAGCCTGGGGAAAGTTTTTGCTTCAAGTTGAAATAACATTTGAGGAAGCTGGTTTATTTAGTTGATTTTTAATTGTTTGAATAAGTACATTGTGAGTGTGTATATGTGCATGTGGTTTATTTTTTATTTTTTATTTTTTTACAGATGTATCTTAGAAATCCATATTGAAAAATCTAGGCAGCTCAAGCTTAGAGCCATACCACCTTGGATTTCAGGAAGTTTAGGGCCTTTTGCTTATAGGCAGGAACTCTATCTAGTATAAGAATCTGGTTTTCTTTTTGGAAAAGAAGTATTTAAATATGGTCGTCATTCTGCAGAGGGCAGTTCATGCTGCCTGTCCTTGCCCTGTGGCATTCAGGATTGGAAGCACACCATCTTTAGATCCAAAGATTCTCTCCTGGAGGCTAGGAAACAAATTAGCTTTTGAACACTGTTCTCTTTACCCGGATTTTTCTTCCCTTTATTTGGTAAGCTTCTAACTGTCTGTCAAGACCCAACTCTAAACTTACTTCTCACTGAATACTTTCCATGAGTTGTTTACTACTTCTTTAAAAATTTCTTAGTCTTTCATGTGATATTTATTTATCTGCATCCATTCATTCTTTAAGCACTTAGCATATGTCAGGCCCTGTGCTAGTTGCTGGAAATACAGAAATGGATGAGGTGCTGCACCAACCCTCCAGGAGCTCAGGGTTTAGTTGCAGGTGATAGACAATCATAATAACTGAAATGTAACTGTAAGTGAGACAGGGAGGAGACAGTCCTTGATTAGACTCAGGTTGATTATGAAAAATTACATTGTATAGGTAAAGTGAGAACAGATTACAAAAGAGTATTTGAATGTATCACTTTTAAGAGCCTCTCAAGTGATTCTCGCTTATCTCTCCTGTTCTTAGACTCTAAAGTTCCTTAGCAAGTGGCGTCTTAAGGAAGTGATACTTTTTTTTTTTTTTAAAACCGCTAACCATTTTTTTCCCTTTTCCGGTCTTTCTGGTGATTTTCCTTCCTTGTTGAAAAAAAGAAAACACCATACCCTGCACTGGGATTTGGTACATTGACCTGTGAGTGGTGTGAAGATGGATTTGAAGTTGGCAAAAAGAGGAAGAAAAACCAGCTAGGCTGCTGATGTAACAGAGATAATTGGGACTGATCTAGAGGGGTGGCAATTGGCCCAGAGGGGAGGGATACATGTGAGAGACATTTGAGGGAAATCAATAGGGCTTGTAACTGAATCAATGTGTGGCTCAAAGGAGAGGAAAGAACCAATAATTTCATAAACTGCTCTCATCAGGTTCATTCATGCCAACTCTCTGATTATTTACAAATATACATAGCTTCTTCTTGTAACAGATGAAGCAAAGAAAATGATCTCCATATTAATGGTTCATGATCAGATATCATTGGTGGCTACGAGATCTCAACAGGAAAGGAGTGGAATTGGGCTAAAGAGCTCAAGACTTTATGATACTATTGCTTTGGGACAAATTAGGAAGACTGTAGAAATGGAGAACTGGGTTGATGATATAAAAATGTGGTATCTGGCAAAAAGGACAGGTATACCACTTCAGTAGCAATTAATATTTATCAAACACTTTCACAGATTTTTGTCTCACATAGGCCTCCAAATAACCCTCCGAAGTCAGTAGCAGTATCTAATTTTACAGATTAGGGATGTACAGAAAGTCCAATCTGCCACCAATAGCAAATATATTGGGATTTTATGCTAGAAGAAAATGAACACATGTGGAGTGACTATAGAAACAAAGCTGGCAAAACAGCCAAAAGAACCTAATGCAAAATCTTCTAGTTCTGCAGACTGCTTTATTTGGGGAACAGATTTCAGTAGTTCTTATTATAGTTTGTTTATGGCATTCAATTTAGTTTAGGATCCTGGGTCTAGACCTCTTAAGAAGGCTTTGGAATTGTCAATGGGAGTCTTTCAGGGCCCCGGATAGGGCTCAAAACAGATTTAACTGAGGTTCCTAAAGTTAGATCTACTCTCACACCATCTTCCACACTATTTCTGTCACCTAGAGCTGGCGTGTCCAAACTGTCTGTGTATGAAAACCCCTTTTTACATTCAAATATTTCTTGAATCTCCAAATTGATAATATTTGGATAATAATAGTTGTACTATTTGTACCTATTGATAGGAAAAATAAGTTCTGAAAAGGAGAACTATGAATTAGTAATTGGTGCTTTCAAATGAATTATGGTACTTTAAAAAATACTTGTAGATGCTTTTGTCAGTATTTATTCAGACTGCATGTGAGAATTGATGCACACAGGAACCCTGAGACTTCTTGCAGTGACTCTGAGGCAACTAGGAGAGAAGAGAGAATGATGTTGTGAGATGTATTTGGCAGGTCAGTAAGGAGGGCATAAATAAAGGGAATCTGGAGGAGAAATGCAGACAGGTGCTCTTAGTGGTTTATTAACCACAAAAAGAACACTCGGAGTGAAATCTGAGTGATTGCCCCATAGACATAGACACCACTTTGCTTAGGTCTAGTTCCACATAAGCAGAGCCTGAAATAATGTCCTGGGTATATCCAGGAAGTAATACTTGGAAGACCCTCGGAGAATAGTTAGTTTCCTTTTACTGGAACATAGGATCAGGGACTATAAGAGAAGCCCAGTTACAAAGTCAAGACCTCCTAGGTAAAAGGGAATTCTATTGACAAAGAACAAATGAGAATCCTATTGTTAAAGCTAGGGCTCTGTGTCCATATCAAGAGTGACTTGATGTTGACCTCAGAGTGACCCAGGGAGCAATGTCTGTGTAGGGTGGTGGTGGAGAAGGCACTGAGAGCTTTCCATGTGCCAGGGAATGGTATGTCCATAACATTGTTGACTTCTCACAGCAACCCTGGGAGTTGATATTGTCCGACTCACCATGCAGATAGGAAACAAAAACCAGGGAGGTTAAGTATCATAACAGGACACATGCTTGTAATGGCAGATCTATGATTGGGAATGCATGCCTCTCTGTTCAAAGCCTGTACTCTATCTACAATATCATACTGTTTTAGCATCTCCTACTCAAGGTCATTGGTTCTTAGAGTTGGGGTTCAGGGTAAACAATAACTGTTCTTCAGTAGTTGTTGGCCCACTTTAGACTTCCTTTCCTATTTTCCTCTTTGGGGTTGTGCTGAGTGAAAAAGGGATGCACCAAAGTATTTTATGAAAAGGAGTGTATTATAATACACTATTCCTAAACTTCCAGACTGATTCCAAAGTCCAAGATATCATGAATAGGATCTGAGATATGTGTAAATCCACAATTTGGGATGGGGTGGAGCCTTCTCCTTTTCCTAGGAGTATGGAACAGTATAAGTTAGTTATTATGGAGGAGAAAGCTGGTTAAAATGAATATCATGAGCTTACAATGCAACTACAGACTTCAGGGCTGGGTTGCACGTGTTTAAATCCTGATTCTGCCTTGAGGAATTAACTTATTTGAGGTCTCAGTTTCCTCATCCATAAAAAAGAATAATAAAATATCTATCTCATAGATTTATAGTGAAGATTAAATTAATAACATACTTAAAATAATGACTACTATCTAGGATACATTCAATAAATGTACCAAAAGGAGATGTCACAAAGAGGGACAAACAGCCTGAAAGTGTTAAAATAATAGAAGGAAAATGAGAGAAGAGCTACCTTCTAATGTATTTTAGCTTCTCACAGCAGTCTTCTTTGCTTTTTCTTTCCTTCCTTCCTTCTTTCTTCCTTTTAATAAATATCTAACATCTACTATGCACCAGACACTGTTCTACATGCAACAGATGCAAAAAGAGCACTCGCAGTGAAGTCTGAATAATTGCCCCATAGACATAGGTACCACCTTGCTTAGGTCAGGTTCCGCAGAAGCAGAGCCTAAAATAAGGTTTTGGGTACAGTGATTGACTAAGGAGTGCCCTCAGAGGAAAGGGAATGAGAGAAGCAGGATGGGGCAGGGGAATCACTATGCAAGAACACAGTCTTAGCTGGAGCATAACTTCAGCCTGATCTAATGGAGGGATCTAGAATTGTGCCCTAGAGTTGGTCCCATCTTCAGACAAGGGGTGGTGGTGGCCTTTTGTACCCTTTGTGTCATTCATGAAGTCAAGTTCACCTTACATAAACTCCTATGATATGATAGTATATATTCTTCCTATTCTCCCTGCTGGTTTACAATACCTTATGACAAGAGTAACAGGAATAATGTCTAACATTATAGTGCAGTGCATGGATATGCTTTATCTTATTTGATTTTCATCAAGCTTGGTAAACCCATATATCTGACTTGGCAAATCCATCTATTTCTTTTTTTCATTAATATTTTTCTTTCTTTTTTCAATCTATGAGGGGAATAGATTCCTAGATGCTGCCTAGATCAGCCACCTGGTGCTTTCACAGTATCTCTCATCTTATTGTCCCTCTCACTGTGACACCTCATCAAACTCTTTTTCTTTGATTGTTATTGAACTGACCAGCACCTAAGAGAGAGGCTTTCTGCCCAAAGCTCTGAGCAAGGCATCCTTGACCTCTTTGTTCCTCAGGCTGTATACAACAGGGTTCAGCAGAGGAGTAATAACAGTGTATGTCACAGAGATAAGTCTGTCCTGCAGGGAATTTTGGGATTTGGGTTTTAGGTAGATGAAAGAAGTACGGCCATAGTGGACAATGACCACTGTGAGGTGTGAGGCACAAGTAGCAAAGGCCTTTCTCCTGCCCTCAGCTGATGCAATCTTGAGGATGGTGGTGACAATTAGGACATAGGAGATGAAGATCAATACCATGGGCAGAACAAGGACACAGAGACTGATGAGCAAAGTAATAAACTCCTTGATAGTAGTGTCTGCACAGGCAAGCTTCATTATGGGCCGGATATCACAAAAGAAGTGGGAGATGAGATTAGCATCACAGAAGGGAAGGCTGAATACAGAAGACACCTGAATGATAGCTGTGCTCAGGCCAATGTTCCAGGATCCACTGACCAGTTGTATACAAGCCTTTTTGCCCATGATGACTGAATACTGTAGAGGGTTGCAGATGGCCACATAGTGGTCATACCCCATGGCTGTGAGCAGGAAGCATTTATTGACACCAAAAGTGAGATAGAAAAAGAGCTGAGCGGCACAGCCTGGGATGGAGATGGTTTGTTGAGGACTGAGGAGACCGGACAGCATTTGGGGGTTGATGGCCACGGTATAATAGGTCTCAGAAATAGACAGCACACTCAGGAAGAAATACATGGGCGTGTGAAGTTGATGGTTAAGGCGGATAACTATCAAGATGATAGCATTGCTGGCAAGGGTCAAAACGTACAAGACCAAAAAGATCACAAAGAGGATGAGTCTGTGATGCCACTCAAAAATGGAGAAACCCTCAAATGTAAACTCTGTCACAGCCATGAAATTGGGCCTTGGCATTGAGGAGAATCTGAGTCTGAAAGAGATGAAGTGGGAATGTTGAGCATCCAGGCTGGAAACAGTAGGCTGGTCCAGGATCGTCATCAGCCATGTGCAGGCACTGAAATGGCATGTAGCTCTGGGTTTCAGATGCTCTCAACATTCAGACACAGGCAAGTACTGAAGGACCCATCAAGGTTCTCTGGGCCCTGAGACTGGGGGACAGATGTAGTATGTGTCTGTTGACAGGAAGTAAATGTGTAAAGGGAGTACAGATGCCCTTCAATGTATGATGAGGCTACATCCTGATAAACCCATCATATGTTGAAAATATCGTGTTAAAAATGCATTTAATACACCTGACTGAACATCATAGCTTATCCTAGCCTACCTTAAATGTATTCAGAACACTTGCATTAGCCTACAACTGGGCAAATCACCTAAAACAAAGTCTATTTTATGATGAAGTGTTGAATATCATAGGTAATTTTTGAATATTGTACTGAAAGTGAAAAACCAAACGGTTGTATAGGTACTTGAAGTATAAATTCTTCTGTATGCATATCACTCTCGCACTATTATAAAGTCAGCGACTGTATGTATTGGAGACCCCTAACTGGTTTGACTAGAAGTAGATGTAGACCAGAGAAAGTACTGAATACCTGTGCCCAGGCCTGAAACTCTACTCAGACTCACCTGGTTTAAATCACCAATGGCACATTGCTCGTCAAAGGCCAGTGCAAAGGGACATACCTAAAGAGTGAATGAGTTCAAGCCAAGGACAGATGGCTGTGTGAGGCGCACTCCTGGGAAGTCAAGAGAGGACCATTCTCCTGTGTCCCAGGACTCTGGAGTCCCTCTCCTCAAAACTTGCTCCATCTCTGTTCAGAAGGGCTTCCATTTGGTAAGTCAAGGTAGAAAGCACTGCCTTCTCTCAAGGTTCAAATTCACAGTGGCCAGTGTCTGGAATAAGGAAGTGAGAGGAGACACTCCTTTTCTCCCGTGTGGATAGTCCAGTGTGCTGACCTAGAACATTCTGTGGTGCGTAGCCACTTCTCTTTTCAGTCCTGCTTTCTTCCAATATCCCCAAATATTATGCGTTTAATACCCGAGTCTCCCCGTTCCGTGTGGAGGGTAGCTTCTGCTTCTATTTTTTAGTCTCTAAACACAATGTAGGCTTGGAAGGTTTTTTATAGATTTAAAACACTAGTAACTATAAGACAACAGCAATAGAAACAACAAAATATTTAAGTTCATAATAATCTCTGGCTTTAACCCCAGTGTAAATGGAGGGATGCCTGATTTTCTTTGCTCGTTTCATTTGTCTCCATGTGCTCATCTACAAAATAGAATAATAATGTCTACTTCATAGTGTCACTATGGAGACCATATGAATTACTGTATGTAAATTGCCAAGTGCAGTTCCTGATACATAGCAGGCAAATACTAAATTAAATTTCTGCTTTCCTCCCTTCTTCTGTCTCCTTCCCATCCCCACCCCCCATAACTCTGGGTTCCATTTGTATGCTTGGCCACCCAAACATGTGCGCGCGCGCACACACACACACACACACACACACACACCATAATTTTTTTGCTTTCTTTCTTTTTTTCATGTTCATGGATGGTTGTTGTCATTAATTTCTTCAATCCCTGTTGAAAGGTCCGGTCTTTACTTTCCATACTCACTTCTCTTCCAACTCTAGATTTTGAAATGTGTGGGAATTGGGGGCAGGGTAGTCTGGAGTTAAATACCTCTGTGATCAAACCCAAGCCCCACTTACTCATATATGACCTTGGAAACAGTTATCACCTCTCTAGGCCTCAATTTCTTCACTTGTAAGATGAAGACTGTGCTAATATCTATCTCAGAGACTGCTATGAAGAAATGCTGAGTGTCACAATCTGGGATGGAGATGGTTTGTTGAGGGCTGCGGAGACTGGACAGCATTTCAATGAGAATATGCTGGATAAGGCATTTAGGCTTTGGAAGCTTTGCCTTCCTTAAGGCTGGTACCCAGATTATCCTTTCTCGGTGATTTTTTTCACTATTTATGCTTTTGATTCCTAAGTTTTGTGACACAGCTGTATATTCATTTTTTCCACTTGATAATTATCTCAGGAGATAAAAGAGAGAGATGAGGGTCATGAGGTTATGAGATGAGGGCCACGAGGTCACATTTAGTTACAGAACAAGAATCCCTGCATCAAGTCCTGAAATGTGACTTACATATCACTGGGCAGGATGGAGGCTTATTCAGGATTCAGGAGAGTGAGGCTTGAAACTAGAATTTCCAGGACTCCCATTGTACTGTGGCAGACACAGCACACAGAGAATCTTCCAAACTGGAGGACTAGAAATAAAACAGAACCTACCAGGACCTTTCAGTTAATTTATCTCCCTGATCAGTCAGATCTGGGAGTAACAAACATACAAAAAGCAGCACCAGGCTCTCCTGCACCTCCCCATTGCCCTGTCCCTTTAAGTCTGAATTGCTGGCTGCCCAAGAGGACCATTCTCCTGTGCCCTAGGACTCTGGGGTCCCTCTCCCCAAAACCACAGTGACTGTCTGCAAGGCAGCAATAGCACAATCCAAACACTCTGATGTCTGGGGAACTCATTATAAAAGTGACTCATCAACAATCATACAACTAGTACTTCGACAATCTTGGTTTTTCCCACAGGAATGAAGTCTTTGCATCAGCATAAGGTCCTGGACTGCTCCGTGGTTGAAGAGGACTCATGCCTCATGATCGCATTATGGGGAGGGCCTCAGAACCAATCATGTTTAAGGATGCAGCGTCATGAGACAAATCACTCACACTCCAGGGTCTCTCTGTCCTAACTGCTGAAGGACCTACCTCTGAGGTCTCTTCAGTTTGAATGTTGTGGGAACCATGACTCATTCATTTACTGATTTCTTCAGCAAATACTCAAAGAATGTCTCTCACATGCTAGGAACATGGAATACAGCAGAAACTGGGAACACTACACCTGTAGTGTAAGCCAGTTTTGCCTGCTTTGCAGTACCTGGCTACCCCTGTGTGTTACCCACAAAAAGCTGAGCACCTTCTCCTTGAGGAGATCAGAAGGAAGAGCTTTACTGAAGTAATTTCTGTAGCCCCCTCTTTCTCTCTCCAGAACTTAGTCCATCAACTGACCCAACCTTGCTTTCCTTTTAGAAGGTGAGCCCAAGATGGGCCTTTCTGAAGGTTGGAAGAGAATTGGATATCAAATCCCCCAGGATACCCTAAGACTTGGGCTCTTCAGTAATTCCTAGTTCTGGTGCCCAGTTTGTATCTTTCTCTTAAGGACTCTCTAAGTACCAGCATACTGAGAAATAAATATTTGAAAGCAGGACAGTTTATTGTGGTGTCTTTGACAAGCCAAGTAAGCTGGGAGAGACTGACAAGCATGGAAGAGTTGCCAGGCATTCAGTTCAATTCCACATAATCTCTCTTAAGGCCCTCAAACATTTACCCAACAGAAACTGGAAGTACTTGAGCTCATAAGCTATTAAGATCCAAAGTCCCACAGGCAAGAGATGAATTTACGGCATATTTATCACTGCTTGAGAATGGCCAGTGCATAACTTCGTTAGGACTGTTTGAAATCCTTTAGGGAGCAGCTAAAGGAAGGCTTAAAGTTGGGCAGCAAGTCTTATCGAGACCTTGAAATAATCATTAATCTTGGGCCTTTTTTGTCAATGTCTCTTCTTTATAGTTCTCCTGGTAGCTATTTAAATATGTAGCTCTTTGAAATTAGAAATAGAATGGAATTGAAACCTATGAGAAAGAAAAGGAAACCCGATACTGAAATTGTGAACAGAAAAGTGACTGACTTTTTAAAATATAAGTTTTATTGTGTGTTTATCTGAAGAAAGATGGGTTTAGGGAGAAAAGGCTAAGAAAATCTAGGATGAATGTAGGTTTTTTTCTGACAAAGGAGAAAAATGTATTGACGACTACATCATCTGCACATTTTGACAGTTTTCTCTTTTCTGTTCTGATTTTTATCTCTCTCATTTATTTCTCTTCACATTGCATTTGGTTATGAAATATAATATTCAATACTAACACTTATAGATACATTTTTGTCTTTTTTTCGGACTTTAAATGTTTTTCATGTTTTATTAACCATTAAACATGATGCTTGCTATAGATCTCTGGCAGATATAAGGAAGTTCCCTTCTATTCCTGGTTTGTTTGCAAGTTTATCATAAATGGTCTGTTAAATTTTCAGCTAGTTTCTTTTCTGCATTCATTGACATAATCATATGCTTTTTATTCTCTAAGTTGTTAGGGGTGAATTACATTAAGAAATTTTTAAAATATTGGCTCATTCATACGTTTTAACGGAAACCCCTACTTGATCTTTGTATATACTGCTGAATTCAGTTTACTATTTTTTCATCTATCCATTATTGGCCGATAATTATCTTTTCCAACTTGGCTATTTTTGGTATGAAAGGTTTGCAATTAGCAGCCTCTTTAAATGCTGGCTAAATCTCACACCTTTCTATCCTCTGAGCATGATGTTGTTTTTTGTGTCTTTGTTTTTTGGAAAGAGTAGGTTTTTCACTACTAGCGTTTCCTGTTTTATGGGGTTTTTATTCTAGTACATTTTCTATTTCTTGTCTAATTATGGTAATATATCCTTTTCTCCAAATCTGCCCATTTTATATACCTTTTAAAAATAAATTAGTATAAAGTTGTTCAAAATGTGCTTTTATAAGTATTTTGTTCCTCCGTATCTGTCCTTGTATCCTACTTGATAATGTTTCTTGTGTCTCTTTGATTTTTGTTGATCATGGCTGTTAGGGGTTTCATTTCTAATTAATCTCTTCAACTATCCAAACTTAAAAAATAAAATATCTATTTTTTTAGTTTTCTTTATTTTTGCATTTAAATTCATCATAATTATTTGTTTTTACCTTCTCTAGATTTGCTACTCTTTTGGAAACTTTTTGAATTTAAATATTCATTTATTATTTTCCAGTAAATATATAAAGCAGTTCTGAGAACTGCTTTGGATGTAAGTCATTAGTTTTGTAGTCTTTTTGTGAAGCCGTAGTAGTATATATTTTAAAATTTTATTTTTGTTTCTTCTTTAACTCATAGTTTATTTAAATGCTTATGTTAAGAGAAAAAGCTTAATACAGGAGTCAAGAGCACTTGTCTCTCTCTGCCACTCACTAACTACATAACCTTAGATATATTGCTCAGTCTCTCTGTGCTTCAATTTTATTTGTATACTGAGAGGAATAATACTACCTATCTCAAGCAGTATTAAAGACTGAATGAGTAAATATTTCAAAGTGCTTAGAATAATGGTTAACATATAGTAAGTGCTATACACGTGTTTATTAAATATCTATGATGTATATAGATCTTTGAAGGTTAATGGAGAAGAGTTTGGCTACTTCTTTTTTGGTTGATTTCTTATTTTATTGCATTGTGGTCCATGAAAAAAATATTTACATAATATCAATATTGAGACATCCTTTGGGATCAAAAGAGTGAACATTCTCTTTATGAAGGTTTGAGCTTTAGATTAGGCCTGTTAATTATTGCTACAACTCTTTTAAGTCCTACTAAACCATTGAATGTTTTGTTAGTTTCAAAAAAAAAATGTTGTCTCCAGCTATGATTGTGTGTTTGTCAATTTATCTTAGTAGTTTTATCAGTTTTTGCATAGTACATTTTAAAACTAAGTTGTTAGGGCCTTATACATTCATAAATGGAGTATCTTCCTGGTGAATTATTTTATCAACATCATAAGTTCCTTAGTTGTTTTCACTTTAAATAATATTTTGTTTGTTATGAGCAATATTACAACAATTTTCTTTTTGTTTTCATCTGCTCGAATACCATTTTCAGCCTCTTTATTTTCCAACTTTTTGTCATTTTAATATACATTTTAAAAAATTGAAGTGGTAGATTATTAAAATTCAGTCTGAGAGCCTCTGTGTTTCCATTAATTAGCTTAATCCATTCATATTTATTGTAATTAAATAAATTTTTGAATATTACTTACACCATATTTTATATTTTTTATTTACTAGGTTTTCCTAATATCTACTTGTTTCTTAGCCAGCCTTTTGGTTAATTGTTTTTTAAAATTTGTTTCCATTGTTTACTATGCACACTATGCAGTTAGATATCCACCATTTCTATTTCTCCAGCATTCATCCTTAATTTTTACAGTTTAATTTTATTTTTGCTAAATAATCCAAATATAGAATTTAAGATGTGAAATAGCACTACATTATTTTAAAAGTTAGTTATTATTCACACATAATTCTTGCCTTTTGGAGGCAGCCACTTTCAGTTCTTTTACCTGTTTCTTATGTTATGCATCTTTATGTTTCTGTTATATTGTATAAAATATGCACATAATGATATTTCTTGATTTCTAAATGTTAGGCATTCTCTCTTGACTTCCTAGCTCATTTACAACACCATCTCTGTGTACATGAACACAAACACACCCACATACTTCTCCTGTCATCCTTTCAGTAAAAATTAAATCTATTTTCAGAACATACATTATTATGATATGAACATATTTTTCACAACTGAGCCATGCAGCTTACTATAAGTTCCTATCTCTTTCTTTGCAATTTTTTTCTTGCTAATTTTTTGTAATTGAACTCTGTTATTAAGTTTTCGAGTATCTTGAATCAATTCTCAAACTCTCCATCAGAACTATAAAGCCTTTTCTCTATAGATACAGTTAGATACAGTCAAATACATGAGATAATCTCCCCAGGTCATATTTATTTAGTTATTTATTTAGCCTTCTAGTTATTTTGTTTCTTTTTGGCCTAATACCACCATTCTGAAGTTCTTTACTCTCCTGAAATCTGAATTTGATTGTTCTTTAGGACTGCTGCATGATTATAGTGCTGGAGCTTTTCCTCACCAAAATGCTGGGATTTTCTTGTCTCTCACCTGTGTTAGTTTCCCTGCTTCCTAGATCCCTCATTTTGATGGAGAACCTCTTCAATAACTATCTGAGAACAAGAACATGGGATGTAAATTTTTTGAAACGTCCACTTCTCTAAAAATATGTTTATTGTATCCACATATGTTGTATTTTGTTGGATGTATTAATCTATTTTAGAAATAATTTTATATCACAATTTTGAAGGCATTGTTTCATTGTTTACCAAATTCTAGTGTAATTGTTGAAAAGTCTAATTTCATTTAAAGTCTCAGTCTTTTAACACGATGTGTTTTTCTCCCTTTCTTTGTCTGGAAACTCTTAGCATTTTTCTTTATCCCTAGAATTTTGATGTGACATGATGGTACTCTTCAATGTGTGTTCCTTTCTTATTTTCTTTCTTGCTATGTTAGTTACTCAATCTGGCAATTTATATTTTTCAAGTATTTTGAAATACTGTTTTCCTTGATGCTGTTCTTCCTCTATTTTTCTGTTTGGAACTCATATTTGTTGGACATTCTACCTCTTCTATCAATCTTCACATTGTTTTGTCTCTTATTTCCTAACTTTTTAATCTTTTTATTACATTTTCTAGAAGGCTTCCTCAAAATTATCTTCCAATTTGTTAATGTATCATTGAAAGAAATTGTCTTATTTTCCAAAGTTTTCTTTTTGTAGAAGCCTGTTTTTATTTCACGGACACACTCAGTTCTTTCATCTCATTGAGGATATTAAACATGTGTGCATACACATCCTATGTATATATACACACACATACATGTATTTCAATATACATATATGTATACTTATATATTTATATTATATATTTACATATTTATATATAATACATACTTAATTTGAATATATGTATATTCATGTACATGTATACACATATATGCACATATACATATATGCATATTTACATGCATTTAAATCATATGTATGTGCATATTAACACATATATAAATATTAAATTATTTCCTCTTTAATGCATTATCTCTATTTTTTTCCAACTTTTAAATTTTTTCTGTTTGCTTGTTCCAGTGTGGCTTTTTTTTTTTTGGAGATGGAGTCTTGCTCTGTCACCCATGCTAGAGTGCAGTGGCATGATCTCTGCTCAATACAACCTCCGTCTCCTGGATTCAAGCGATTCTCCTGCTTCAGCCTCCTGAGTAGCTGGGATTACGGGCACCTGCCACCTCACCCGGCTAATTTTTTGTATTTTTATTAGAGATGGGATTTCACCATCTTGGCCAGGCTGGTCTTGAACTCCTGACCTAGTGACCCACTCGCCTCAGCCTCCCAAACTGCTGGGATTACAGATGTAGTGTGGCTTTTAATGTTAGAAACCACCTTGGCTGTCCATTCATATCTAATAAAAAAGCTCTAATAAGCCAATTGAAAGTTCTGGGTGTGTTTCTTGTATTGACAGCAATACAATGGCAAGTAGTTTTCATTAGGAAGCACCCAGACGTCAGTATCTATAAGTTTATTCTCTCAGAATTCTTCTTTTCCCTAGGAAGAATTCCTTTAATGTTCTTTCTGGTGGTTGTAAACCTTGTTGCCAGAATTGTGGGAGTCAAAGAAGGAAAAGGAGACTGGAGGAAAGTCTCTCCGCATGGTTTGTAGAATTTTCTTAATCTCCTCATTGTCTACACTGCACTTCTTCTCCAACTTTCAAACCCTTCTGGAAAATGTAAATCTGCAGTATTTTACTTGAATATGGGAAGTACAGTGAGTTATATTAGAAATGTGCAATCCTGGGCTTAGGGAGACTAAATCTGCTATAATATGCAGTATGCCTGCCTGCTCTTTGCTCCACAGGGAGACACTGTCTCTGTCTCTGTGTTTCAAGGCTGTTCCCTATACAAATATCTTTGAAATCATATAGATCAATGGATCATCAGTGCCTGTCCTCACAAGATGTACAGAAATGTAAGAGGCCCACAGAGAATTGTCACAGTCAATTCAAGCATGTAAACCAAAAGCTAAATGGGAAAGAAGATATATTGTGTGTGGCAGTGGATGGGGTAAATATTGGCCTCTATAATAAAGTGTAGAAGCATTGTCATCACCTGTAGGAGAAAAGCAGCATGGCTTTTATAAGGGAGATATGTTCTTTAAGAGGCTACATGAACCATCTGTTGTATAAAGAAAAAAAATGTATTTTCGGTTTTGAAAAATTGGAAAGGATTGAAATAGAAGAGGGGCTTCAAGATGGCTGACTAGATGCATCTGGTATTCACCTCTTCCACGGAGAGGAACCAAATTAGTGAGTATATAATTACTTTGAATAGCTCATTTGAGAACACTAGAATTCAACAGAACAGTTATAGGAAGCACCAGAAGCAAGGAAAGAGAGGGAAGCAATGTAGCCTGTTCAGCTGGGATCTGCTGGCAGCCTGAAGAGGTTCCCTAATGTGGGGAAAGAGTAAGCGAAAAGCCCCCCAGTGGTCCTCATTTTCACCCAAGACTCCTACAACTCTAGCCATAGGAAAGGAGCTCAACCCTAGTAAGGTTCGAAACTTACATAGGGAACTTCCTGGGGACTACACAAAGGCACTGCTCTAGAGGGAGCTCATGCTGGGTCCCACAACCCCCAGAGTCTTGTGCAGCTGCAATACAGCATCATTTTGAGAGCCCAGCCTCCACCAGTCTCTGTCCTGCCCTAGGGCTTAACAGCTTCTGCATCTCCACATCCCTGAAGCCCCACTGACATTCTGTACCTACCGCTGCTACTCCTGGGATCAAGGTGGGAACCATGGGCAGAGACCCCTGCATCTCACCTGCGGAGGGATGGCTGCACACTTTTAAGTGCCCCAAGGAAAAATTCCACAGCTCGCAGCTGCCTCCATTGCAGGCTGGTGCAAGGTTGAGGCACAAGCAATATGCACAGTCCCCAGCAACATGCCTAAGGTTGCTTCCACTGAAAGCAACTCCACCCTCCTCAGTAGTAGGGCCACAGTGCAGTCACTGCTGCCCCATCTAAGCATTCTTCTGGGGGCCTAGGGATCACCCTGTCTCTCCCTACAAAAGCCAATACCTGAATGCACCACTGGGGAGACTGCCCAGCCCAGATCCACCAACTCCAGTACTCGGCACACCGTTTGAGGCCTGGAAATCACCCAGCCCAGCCTAACAGTGTTTGGCACCTGAGCACACTACTGTTGGGGTCTGAGGTCAAGCCCACTCAACCTGCAGCTACAACAGATAGCATCACATGAATGTGCCACCTGCAGGCCTGTACAGCGCATTGCAGCAACTGCCAACATCACCGTGGACTGCTTGGGTCCCAGAGGGTTGTCCTGCCACTATTACTGTCATTGCCCATGCCACGCCTGACGCCCAGGTGCTTAAGAACCTGCCCACCCTCCCTGCCACTGCTGGTACCCAAGCAAGTCACCTGGAGCCCCAAGAATCAGCCTGCTTGCACAAGTTAAAATCAGTGCCAGCGTACGTCACCATGGGGCCATGAACAGGCATGATTATCCCACTGCCATCACCACCCAGGCCCAAAGACTAGCTCACCTGGCATTCCAGTTCCTACCCAAACTTCACCACAGCCTCTACTAACTACTACACCATAAGCCACTGAGGAAATCACAGAAACCACTGACATTGTACAGCTAAATAAGTCATAGAGACACTACACCACTGTATGCACCCACGATCCAAGCCACAGTGCCCTAACCAACCAATACCATAGATATATCTTCAGGAAAAATTCCACACCCATGAGAACAAATTCAAAAAATTGGAAAAAGCAACTATTGCACCAGATGTGCAGATATCAATGGAAGAACACAGGAAACATGAAATTAATACAACACCTTTGAAGGAACATAAAAATTCTCCAGCAAGAGATCCAAATCAAAAAGAAATTTGCCAAATCCCCAAAAAAGAATTTAAAATATTGATACTCAAGAATCTCAGTGAGATAAAAGAGATGACTGAAAACAATATAAAAAATCAGAAAAAAATCAGGATGTGAATTTTAAAATTACTGAAGTCATAGATAACATAAAAAAGAACCTAACAGAAATTCTAAAATTGAAGAATTCATTAAATAAAATACAAAATACATTTGAAATCTTCAGCAATAGACTAGATCAAGCAGACAAAAAATCTCAAAACTTAAAAATGGGCCTTTTGAAATAACTCAGGCAAAAATTTTTTAAAAGAATAAAAAAGAATTACAAAGCCTATCTGACATATGGGGAACCAGAAAGTGACCAAGTACTCAAATTTGTGGTATCTCAGAAGACAAGAAGAAAACAAAAGGTTTAGAAACCTATTTAATGAAATAATAGATTAAAAACTTCCCAAGTCTAGCAAGTTATTTGGGAACATCAAGATACAGGAGTCTCAAAGATTCACAAATAGATACAATTTAAGAAGGTCTCCATGGCACGTTGTACTCAAAATGTCAAAAGTCAAAGAAAAAGACAAAATTCTAAGAACAGCAAGAGAAAAGCATCTAGTCACTTATAAAGGAACTTTGATCAGACTAACAGCATATTTCTCAGCAGAAACCATGCAGACCATGAGATAATAGTATGATGTATTCAAAGTGCTGAAAAAAAAAACCTACTAACCAAGGATTTTATGCCTAACAAAGTTATCCTTCATATATAAAGGAGAAATAGAGTCCTCTCCAAATAAGCAAATTTATCACCTTTAGACTGATCCCACAAGAAATGCTTAAGGGAGTCCTATGGGAGTCCTATGCCTGGTAGCAAAAGAAAGATTACTGTCACTAAAATACATGAAAATGTAAAAACCACTGATTTAGCAAACAAATAAGGAAGAGAAAATATTCAAATGTTACCACTACAAAATTCCAGCAAACCACAATAATAAACAACAAGAGAGAAAGAAAGAAACAAAGAATATACAAAACAACCAGAAATCAATTAATAAAATTACAGGAATATGCCCTCATCTATCCATAATAAACTTAAATGTAAATACATTGAACTTCCCACTTAAAAGATATAGACTAGCTGAGTAGAATAAACAATATGACCCAATGATATGCTGCCTATGAAAATTATCTTACCAGGAAAGAAGCGTGTAGACTGAAAGTAAGGGAATAGAAAAATATACTCTATGGCAAATGGAAACCAAAGTGAGCAGGAAAAAACTATACTTATATCAGACAAAACAGACTTTAAGTCAAAAACAGTAAAAAGAGACAAAGAAGGTCATTATATAATAACAACAGAGAAATTCAGCAATGGGATATAAAAATTATAAACATATATGCACCAACATCAGAGCATCCATATACAAAAAATATTATTACATCTAAAGAGAGAGAGAGACTCCAATACAATAGTAGTTGGAGACTTCAACGCCCTACTTTCATCATTAGATAGATCATCCAGAAGGAAAAGTAAAAATAAAAAATGAATTTAAGTTGCATATTTAACCAAATGAACCGAAAAGGCATTTACAAAGCATTTCATCCAACAACTACAGAATACACATTCCATTTATCAGCACAAGAAACATTCTCCAAAATAGATCATATGTTAGGACACAAAACAAGTCTCAACAAATTGAATAATACTGAAATCATATCAAATGTCTTCTGAGACTACAGTGGAATAAAACTAGAAATCAAGAGGAACTTTGGAAACTGTACAAATACATGTAATTTAAGCAACATGCTCCTTGTGTTAGTATGTTCTCACTCTGCTAATAAAGGCATACCTGAGACTGGGTAATTTATAAAGAAAAAGAGGTTTAATAGACTCACAGTTCCATGTGGCTGGGGAGGCCTCACAATCATGGCAGAAAATGAAAGGCATGTCTTACATGGCAGCAAGCAAGACAGAAAACTTGTGCAGGCAAACTCCCATTTATAAAACCATCAGATCTCATGAGACTTATTCACTATCACAAGAACAGCATGGGAAAGACCCACCCCCATGATTCAATTACCTCCCACTGGGTTTCTCCCATGACACATGGGAATTATGGGAGCTATAATTTAAGCTAAGATTTGGGTAGGGTCAGAGTCAAACCATATCATTCTGCCCCTGGACCCTCCCAAATCTCATGTTCTCACATTTCAAAACCAATCATGCCTTCCCAACAGCTCCACAAAGTCTTAACTCATTTCAGCATTAACTCAAAAGTCCACAGCTTAAAATCTCATCTGAGCCAAGCCAAGTCCCCTTTGCCTGTGAGCCTGTATAATCAAAAGCAAGTTAGTTACTTCCTAGGTACAATGGGGTTGCAAGCATTGGGTAAATACACTCATTCTAAATAGGATAAATTGGCCAAAATGAAGGGGCTACAGGCCCCATGCAAGTCTGAAATCCCATGGGGCAGTCAAATCTTAAAGCTCCAAAATGATCTACTTTGACTCAATGTCTCACATCCAGGTCACACTGATGCAAGAGGTGGGTTCCCATGATCTTGGGCAGCTCCACCCCTGTGGCTTTGCAAGGTACAACCTCCCTTCTAGCTGTTTTCACGTGCTGGTGTTGAAGGTCTGTGGCTTTTCCAGGTGCTCAGTGCAAGCTGTTGGTAGATCTACCATTCTGAGGTCTGGAGGACAGTGTCCCTCTTCTCATAGCTCCACTAGCCAGTGTCCCAGTAAGGACTTTGTGTGGGGGCTTCAACCACGCATTTTCCTGCCACACTGCCCAAGCAGAGGTTCTCTGTGAAGGCCCCACCCCTGCAGCAAACTTCTGCCTGGATATCCAGGTGTTTCTGTACATCCTGTGAAATCTAGGCAGAGGTTCCCAAGCCTCGATTCTTGACTTCTGTTCACCTGCAGGCTCGACACCACATGGCAGCTGCCAAGGTATGGGGATTGCACCATCTGAAGCTATGACCTGAGCTGTACCTTGGTCCCTTTTAACCATGGCTAGGGTGGCTGGGACTCAGGGCACCAATAGACTGTGCATAACAGGGGTCCCTGGAGCTGGCCCAGGAAACCCCTTTTTCCTCCTAAGCCTCCTGGCCTGTGGTGGGAGGGGCTGCTGCAAAGGTCTCTAACATGTCCTGGAGACATCTTCCCCACTGTCTTGGCAATTAACATTTGGCTCCTTGTTACTTAAGAAAACTTCTCCAGCTGGCTTGAATTTCTCCTCAGAAAATGGAAGTTTCTTTTCTATTGCATTGTCAGACTGCAAATTTTCTGAACTTTTATGTTGCTTCCCTTTTAAAACTAAATGCTTTTAACAGCACCAAAGTCACCTCTTGAATGCTTTGCTGCTTAGAAATTTCTTCCACGAGATACCCTAAATCATCTCCCTCAAGTTCAAAGTTCCACAAATCTCTGGGGCAGGGGCATAATGATGCAAGTCTCTTTGCTAAAATATAACAAGAATCACCTTTACTCCAGTTCCCAACAGGTTTCTCATCTCCATCTGAGACCACCACAGCCTGGATTTCATTGTCCATATCATTATAAGAATTTTGGTAAAAGCCAGTCAATATGTTTCTAGGTAGTTCCAAACTTTCCCACATTTTCCTGTCTTCTTCTAAGCCCTCCAAACTGTTCCAACCTCTGCCTGTTACCCAGTTCCAAAGTTGCTTTTACATTTTTAGGTATCTATACAGCAGCACCCTACTCCTGGTACCAATTTACTGTTAGTCTTTTCTTGCACTGCTAATAAAGACTGCCTGAGACTGGTTAATTATAAAGAAAAAGAAGTTTAGTGGACTCATAGTTCCACGTGGCTGAGGAGGCAGAAAGTGAAAGGCATGTCTTACATGACAGCAGACAAGAGAGAAAACTTGTGCAGGACAACTTCCACTTTTAAAAACATCAGATCTCGTAAGACTTATTCACTATTATGAGAAGAGTATGAGAAAGACCTGCTCCCATGATTCAATTACCTCTCACCATGTTTCTCCCATGACGTGTGGGAATTATGGGAACTACAATTTAAGATGAGATTTGGGTGTGGTCAGAGTCAAACCATATCACTCCTCAAAGGCCATTTGATCAAGAAAGGAATTGTGGAGGAAATAAGATTTATTGAAAGAAATAAAATGGAAACACAACATACCAAGACTTGTGGGAGACAGCAAAAGCAGTGCTAAGAGGGAATTTTATAGAAATAAACACATATAGAAAAAAGTAGATTTTAAATAAACAATCTAATGATTTACTTCAATGAACTAGAAAAACAAGAACAAAACAAATTCAAAATTAGTAGAAGAAATAATAAAGATCAAAGCAGAACTAAATGAAATAGAGACCTAAAAAACAAAAAATCAATGAAATGAAATGTTTTTAATAGATAAACAAAATCAATAAACTGCTAGATGGACTAACCAAGAGAAAAAGAGAGAAGACCCAAATAAATAAAATCAGAAATGAAAAAGGAGACATTACAACTGATACCACAGAATTAGAAAAGATTATTGGAGACTATTATGAGCAATACACACTAACAAATAGGAAACCTAGAGGAAATGAATAAATTTCTAGACTCATATCACCTACCAAGACTTGAATCAGGAAGAAATAAAAAACTTGAACACACTTATAATGAGTAATGAGATTGGATCAACAATAACAGGCCTCCTAACAAAGAAAATCCCAGAATTGGATGGCTTCACTGAAAAATACCACCAAACTTTCAAAAAGGAACTAACATCAATTTCCTCAAATTATTTCAAAAAAATTAAAAGAGAAAATTTTCTCTAACTCATTGTATGAGGCAGCATTACCCTAATACTAAAACCAGACAAGGATGCAACAAAAAAGAAAACTACAGTAAAATGCTCCTGATGAACACAGATACAAAAATTCTAAACAAAATACTAGCAAACCAAAACCAACAGCACATCAAAAAAAAAAAAGGACAAAAACAATATGATCATCTCAATAGATGAAGAAAAATTATTTTGCAATATTCCCCCATGATAAAAAAAGTCTCAAGAAACTAGGCAAAGAAAGATCATACCTGAGCATAATATAGGCCACTTATGACAAACCCACAGCTAACATTGTACTGAATGGGGAAAACCTGAAAGCCTTTTATCTAAGAACTGGAACAAGACAAGGATTCTCCCTTTCACCGTTCTTATTTGATGTAGTAATAGAAGTCGCAGCCAGAGCAATCAAACAAGAGAAAACTAAGATACTCAAACTGGACAAGAATAAATCAAATTGTCACTCTTTGCTGATGATATAATCTTACATCTAGAAAAACCTAAAGACTCCACCAAAAAAAACCTCTTAAATCTACAAATAAATTTAGTAAAGTTGTAAGATACAAAATCAACACACAAAAATCAATGGCATTTTTATACATGAATAGTGACCTAGTGAATTCTTTATTTCTTTAATAAAGAAGGCAATCCCATTTACAATAACTGAAAAAAAACTAGGAATAAATTTAACAAAGGAGGTGAAAGAGCTTTGCAAGAAAAACTATAAAACATTGATGAAAGAAATTTAAGAGGACACAACAAATGAAAAGATGTCTCGTTCATAAATTAAACAATTAATTATCATTAAATAATTAATCACATTAATATTTTCATGTTCTTAAAATAATTAATATCATTAACATATTACTAAAAGTGAATATTAGTCATATCGTTTAAAATTAATTACCATATTCATATCATTAAAATTACCATATTGCCCAAAGTGATCTATAGATCCAATGCAATCTCCATTCAAATATCAATGTCATATTTCACAGAATTAGAAAAAGCAATCCAAAAATTTGTATGGAACCAAAAAAGAGCTTGAATAGCCAAAGCAATCTTGAGCACAAACAACAAAGCTAGAGGCATCACCTGACCTGACTTCAAAATGTGTTACAGGGCTATCATAACCAAAATAGCATGGTATTAGTATAAAAACAGACACACAGGCCAGTGAAACAGAATAGAGAATTCAGAAATGCATTCATTTATTCACAGTCAACTGATTTTAGACAAAGGCACTAAGAACATGCATTGGGAAAAGGATACCTTCTTCAATAAGTGGTACTGGGAAAATTGGATGTCCATATGCAGAAGAATAAAAGTGGGCTTCTATCTCTCACCATATAAAAAAATCAACTCAAGATGGATCAAAGACTTGAATGTAAGACCCAAAACTATGAAATAACTAGAAGAAAACGTAGGGAAAACCCTTCAGAATACTGATGCAGGCAAAGATTTATGTATAATGAAGATCGCAAAAGCATAGATAAAAACAAACAGATAAATTGAACTCTATTAAACTAAATAGCTTCTTCACAGCAAAGGAAACAATCAAAAGTTGAGAAACAACACATTGAATGGGAGTATATATTTGCAAACTATTCATCCCACAAGGGACTAATATCCAGAATATACAAGGAACTCACCTCAACAGTAAAAATAAAAATCCAATTAAAAAGTGGGCAAAGGACAAGAATAGACATTTTTCAAAAGAAGATATACAAATGACCAACCATACATGAAAAAATGCTTAATATCACTAATCATCAGGGAAATTCAAATCAAAACCACAATGAGATATATCATCTTACCCTGGTTAGAATGGCTATTACTAAAATTAATAAATAACAGAAGATGCCAAGAAAAGGGAACTCTTATACAATATTGGTGGGAACGTAAATTAGTACAGTTGCTATAGAAAACAGTATGACATTTCTCAAAAGCTAAAAATAGAACTACCATATGATCCAGCAATTCTGCTGTTGGGTATATGTTCAAAAGAAAGGAAATCAATATATTGAAGAGATATCTACACTTTCATGTTTATTGCAACACTCTTCAAAATAGCTAAGATATGGAATTCACCTAAGTGGCCATCAACTGACAAATGTACAAAGTAAATGTGGTATGTAAACACAATGGAATACTGTTTGACCATAAAAAGAATGAAATCCCATCATTTGAAGCAACATGGATGGAACTGGAGGTCATTAAGTGAAATAAGCCAGACACAAAAAGAAAAATTTTACATGTCCTCTCTCATATGTGGGAGCTACAAAAGTTGATTTCATCGAGGTAGAGAACAGAACGGTAGACACGAAAGCCTAGGAATGGTGTGTGGGTAGGAGGGTGGTGATGAAGAGAAGTTGGTCAATGGGTACAAACATACAGTTAGAAGTTATAAATTCTCATGGTCCACAGCAGGTTAGGGTGACTGCAGCTAGTAACAACGTATTGTAAATTTCAAAGTAGCTAGAAGAGAGGACTTGAAATGTTTCCAACACATAGAAATGATAAATACTGAAGGTGATAGATACCCTAAATACGCTGATTTGATCATTATACATTCACTGCATGTAACAAATACTCACATGTACCCCATAAATATGTAAAATATTATGTGCCAATTTAAAAACCTAAAAAACCCATTAAATAAGTGTGAACTATACATACATTTAAGAAAGATTAATAAAAACAAGCAATATATTTTTTTATTTTTATTTATTTACTTTTTTATTTTATTTTATTATTATTATACTTTAAGTTTTAGGGTACATGTGCACAATGTGCAGGTTAGTTACATATGTGTACATGTGCCATGCTGGTGTGCTGCACCCATTAACTCATCATTTAGCATTAGGTATATCTCCTAATGCTATCCCTCCCCCCTCCCCCTACCCCACAACAGTCCCTAGAGTGTGATGTTCCCCTTCCTGTGTCCATGTGTTCTCATTGTTCAATTCCGACCTATGAGTGAGAACATTTGGTGTTTGGTTTTTTGTTCTTGTGATAGCTTACTGAGAATGATGATTTCCCATTTCATCCATGTCCCTGCAAAGGACATGAACTCATCATTTTTTATGGTTGCATAGTATTCCATGGTGTATATGTGCCACATTTTCTTAATCCAATCTATCATTGTTGGACATTTGGGTTGGTTCCAAGTCTTTGCTATTGTGAATAGTGCCACAATAAACATACGTGTGCATGTGTCTTTATAGCAGCATGATTTATAGTCCTTTGGGTATATACCCAGTAATGGGATGGCTGGGTCAAATGGTATTTCTAGTTCTAGATCCCTGAGGAATCGCCACACTGACTACCACAATGGTTGAACTAGTTTACAGTCCCACCAACAGTGTAAAAGTGTTCCTATTTCTCCATATCCTCTCCAGCACCTGTTGTTTCCTGACTTTTTAATGATTGCCATTCTAACAAGTGTGAGGTGGTATCTCATTGTGGTTTTGATTTGCATTTCTCTGATGGCCAGTGATGGTGAGCATTTTTTCAAGTGTTTTTCTGGCTGCATAAATGTCTTCCTTTGAGAAGTGTCTGTTCACGTCCTTTGCCCACTTTTTGATGGGGTTGTTTGTTTTTTTCTTGTAAATTTGTTTGAGTTCATTGTCGATTCTGGATATTAGCCCTTTGTCAGATGAGTAGGTTGTGAAAATTTTCTCCCATGTTGTAGGTTGCCTGTTCACTCTGATGGTAGTTTCTTTTGCTGTGCAGAAGCTCTTTAGTTTAATTAGATCCCATTTGTCAATTTTGTCTTTTGTTGCCATTGCTTTTGGTGTTTTAGACATGAAGTCCTTGCCCATCCCTATGTCCTGAATGGTAACGCCTAGGTTTTCTTCTAGGGTTTTTATGGTTTTAGGACTAACATTTAAGTCTTTAATCCATCTTGAATTAATTTTTGTGTAAGGTGTAAGGAAGGGATCCAGTTTCAGCTTTCTACATATGGCTAGCCAGTTTTCCCAGCACCATTTATTAAATAGGGAATCCTTTCCCCATTGCTTGTTTTTCTCAGGTTTGTCAAAGATCAGATAGTTGTAGATATGTGGCATTATTTCTGAGGGCTCTGTTCTGTTCCGTTGATCTATATCTCTGTTTTGGTACCAGTACCATGCTGTTTTGGTTACTGTAGCCTTGTAGTATAGTTTGAAGTCAGGTAGCGTGATGCCTCCAGCTTTGTTCTTTTGGCTTAGGATTGACTTGGCGATGCGGGCTCTTTTTGGTTGCATATGAACTTTAGAGTAGTTTTTTCCAATTCTGTGAAGAAAGTCATTGGTAGCTTGATGGGGATGGCATTGAATCTGTAAATTACCTTGGGCAGTATGGCCTTTTTCACGATATTGATTCTTCCTACCCATGAGCATGGAATGTTCTTCCATTTCTTTGTATCCTCTTTTATTTCACTGAGCAGTGGTTTGTAGTTCTCCTTGAAGAGGTCCTTCACGTCCCTTGTAAGATGGCTTCCTAAGTATTTTATTCTCTTTGAAGCAATTGTGAATGGGAGTTCACTCATGATTTAGCTCTCTGTTTGTCTGTTATTGGTGTATAAGAATGCTTGTGATTTTTGTACATTGATTTTCTATCCTGAGTATTTGCTGAAGTTGCTTATCAGCTTAAGGAGATTTTGGGCTGAGAGAATGGGGTTTTCTAGATATACAATCATGTCATCTGCAAACAGGGACAATTTGACTTCCTCTTTTCCTAATTGAATACCCTTTATTTCCTTCTCCTGCCTAACTGCCCTGGCCAGAACTTCCAACACTATGTTGAATGTAAAGACCATCGAGGCTAGGAAGAAACTGCATCAACTAATGAGCAAAATAACCAGCTAACATCACAATGACAGGATCAGATTCACACATAACAATATTAACTTTAAATGTAAATGGGCTAAATGCTCCAATTAACAGACACAGACTGGCAAATTGGATAAAGAGTCAAGACTCATCAGTGTGCTGTATTCAGGAAGCCCATCTCATGTGCAGAGACACATATAGGCTCAAAATAAAAGGATGGAGGAAGATCTACCAAGCAAATGGAAAACAAAAAAAGGCACGGGTTGCAATCCTAGTCTCTGATAAAACAGACTTTAAACCAACAAAGATCAAAAGAGACAAAGAAGGCCACTGCATAATAGTAAAGGGATCAATTCAACAAGAAGAGCTAACTATCCTAAATATATATGCACCCAATACAGGAGCACCCAGATTCATAAAGCAAGTCCTTGGAGACCTACAAAGAGACTTAGACTCCCACACAATAAAAATGGGAGACTTTAACACTCCACTGTCAACATTAGACAGATCAACGAGACAGAAAGTTAACAAGGATACCCAGGAATTGAGCTCAGCTCTGCACCAAGTGAACCTAATAGACATCTACAGAACTCTCCACCCCAAATCAACAGAATATGCATTTTTTCAGCACCACACCACACCTATTCCAAAATTGACCACATAGTTGGAAGTAAAGCTCTCCTCAGCAAATGTAGAAGAACAGAAATTATAACAAACTGTCTCTCAGACCACAGTGCAATCAAACTAGAACTCAGGATTAAGAAACTCACTCAAAACCGCTCAACTACATGGGAACTGAAGAACCTGCTCCTGAATGACTACTGGGTACATAACGAAATGAAGGCAGAAATAAAGATGTTCTTTGAAACCAATGACAACAAAGACACAACATACCAGAATCTCTGGGACACATTCAAAGCAGTGTGTAGAGGGAAATTTATAGCACTAAATGCCCACAAGAGAAAGCAGGAAAGATCCAAAATTGACACCCTAACATCACAATTAAAAGAACTAGAAAAGCAAGAGCAAACACATTCAAAAGCTAGCAGAAGACAAGAAATAACTAAAATCAGAGCAGAACTGAAGGAAATAGAGACACAAAAAACCCTTCAAAAAATTAATGAATCCAGGAGCTGGTTTTTTGAAAGGATCAACAAAATTGATAGACTGCTAGCAAGACTAATAAAGAAAAAAAGAGAGGAGAATCAAATAGATGCAATAAAAAAAGATCAAGGGGATATCACCACCAATCCCACAGAAATACAAACTACCATCAGAGAATACTACAAACACCTCTACGAAAATAAACTGGAAAATCTAGAAGAAATGGATAAATTCCTTGACGCATACACCCTCCCAAGACTAAACCAGGAAGAAGTTGAATCTCTGAATAGACCAATTACAGGCTCTGAAATTGTGGCAATAATCAATAGCTTACCAACCAAAAAGAGTCCAGGACCAGATGGATTCACAGCCAAATTCTACCAGAGGTACAAGGAGGAACTGGTACCATTCCTTCTGAAAATATTCCAATCAACAGAAAAAGAGGGAGTCCTCCCTAACTCATTTTATGAGGCCAGCATCATCCTGATACCAAAGCCGGGCAGAGACACAACCAAAAAAGAGAATTTTAGACCAATATCCTTGATGAACATTGATGCAAAAATCCTCAATAAAATACCGGCAAAATGAATCCAGCAACACATCAAAAAGCTTATCCACCATGATCAAGTGGGCTTTATCCCTGGGATGCAAGGCTGGTTCAATATACACAAATCAATAAATGTAATCCAGCATATAAACAGAACCAAAGACAAAAACCACATGATTATCTCAATAGATGCAGAAAAGGCCTTTGACAAAATTCAACAACCCTTCATGCTAAAAACTCTCAATAAATTAGGTATTGATGGGACGTATCTCAAAGTAATAACAGCTATCTATAGCAAACCCACAGCCAATATCATACTGAATGGGCAAAAACTGGAAGCGTTCCCTTTGAAAACTGGCACAAGACAGGGATGCCCTCTCTCACCACTCCTATTCAATATAATTTTTAAAAAATTGGAAAAGCTGTCTTCAACATTTGAGCCATTAAAATAATGGAGAGACTTTATCATTATGGATAGATTAGAGATAGATAATACATGTAAAGTTAAGTGGTTAATTATCTTGATGGAAATGTATAGGTAGACTCCTCAAAGTTTGTGAAGATATAAAATCAATGGAAATGAATGACCAAAATCTCTTTGCAGCTGGTTGGAAGAGGCAGGTAAGTCTCAGTGAGAAATTGCAAAATAATGTATTAGAAAAAGAGAGTACGGAGTATGCTTAAAGCACAATGTTCTGACTTACTAATTAAAAAGAAAGTGGAATTTGATGCCACAATAGGCTATTCCTAAGTATACAGGCCTAAAAAGTTAAAAACAAAGCGGAGATGGGTTTAATCGGTGAGCAGTCAAAAGAAAAGAATCCTTATGCAAATCCTTGGTCAGCTTCATGCAGCGCAGGTAAATTTCTCATTCACACTACTGCAGAAGATTCAGAGAATAGCTGCGGAAATGCCCTGGTGAGAGTCTCAAGATCTCCAGTGTGCAAGTTATCTGATAAGAAGAGACTCTGAAGTCTACAGTAAAAGAAGCAGAGAAGGGATGTGATTCATTTAAATACAGTTACGAATGGAGTGCACAGAGCAATATAGGCTCATTCAGCTCACACAATACTAGGAAGTACATGACGGACATATCAAATTCATCATTTGTGTTTTGGAAAATCCCACACACCATGGTGCTTTTCAATCCCAGGGTCATAGCTTGGTTTCTCTTTCTTCCTTATAGCAGTTCCCAAGGACTCAGCCTCTTTAATGTTGCTATGAAGCACAAAGTCCTAGATCCATTCAGAACCACTCTTTTATTCCCTAAACATGACATAATAATCTTCTCTAATCATGATAATAATAATTATGGCCAAAATTTTTCGGGATGTTACTATTTGTCAGTCACCTTGCTCAATGATTTATGTATTGACTCATTTGAGCCTCACAATATTCTTATGAGTTAAGTACTAACATTACCCATTTTATAGATGAGGAACTTGTGTTACAGACAGGTTCAGACTTTGCCCAGGTGGAATGAGAATTTATCACCAGGCCTTCTTTTTTTTTTATTATTATACTTTAAGTTTTAGGGTACAGGTGCACAATGTGCAGGTTAGTTACATATGTATACATGTGCCATGCTGGTGCGCTGCACCCACCAACTCGTCATCTAGCATTAGGTATATCTCCCAATGCTATCCCTCCCCCCTCCCCCCATCCCCCAACAGTCCCCAGAGTGTGATGTTCCCCTTCCTGTGTCCATGTGTTCTCATTGTTCAATTCCCACCTATGAGTGAGAATATGCGGTGTTTGGTTTTTTGTTCTTGCGATAGTTTACTGAGAATGATGATTTCCCATTGCATCCATGTCCCTACAAAGGACATGAACTCATCATTTTTTATGGTTGCATAGTATTCCATGGTGTATATGTGCCACATTTTCTTAATCCAGTCTATCATTGTTGGACATTTGGGTTGGTTCCAAGTCTTTGCTATTCTGTTTCTGGGTCCTCCATATGTAACCACTGAGCTACAGAGATTCTCATGCTGCTTCATCTGGATCTTAGAAATGCTGGGCCCTCATACTTGATGCTGCCTGCAACATAAGCCTTATTCACTTTTCCTTTACTATCTTGGACAATACCTCCTTTATAGTATTCTTTGACCCTAAGACTGAGTTAGGAACCCTTCTTCATGTTTCCATATCATCCTACACTAAGCTCTATCATAGCACCCCTTACTCTCTACATTGTTACTCCCATTTACCTTTCTTTTCTATTGATGTTGTGAGTTATTTAACATCAGGGACTCTTTCCCATGCTTTATTCACTCAGTAAATAATTAACAAGAAACTAAAATGTACTAGCTATTGAATTCATAGACCTTGACACATAGTATGGGAATAAGAAATATTTGATGAATAAATAAATTAAGTAATGCTCTTCTTTGGGATTCTTCTCCCTTTAAGATCAGTTGTGAATTTTATCACTGATTTCATAGAGAAATATAAGAATTAACTACATAACCACATTGAATAAGTTATAAAATTGATTGTATTCATGCACAGTTTCTGTAATTACTGTCCTTTGTCTTTAGCTTCCAATTCTTTCTAAAATCATCATTGGAATTCTTCCTGGTTAAACACATCTCCTTTAATATCTCTGCTGATGGAATGTTTCAGATTTTATGTACACTTAGAGTACCATATAGCATTCACTAGGTGCCAGAGACTTTTCTAAGCACTTTGAGATATTAATGGATTTAATCCTCACAATGACTCTGTAAAGAAGTTGCTATCATTAAGCTCATTTTAGAGATAAAGCAATTGAGACACAGACAAGTTAAATAACTTGCCCACAGTTACATAGTTATGACCTGGTGGAACCAAAATTAAATTCTGGGCAGTGTGGCTTCAGAGTACATACTGCTTCCCATTACACTCTATTTCTTCTTTGAGCCATAACAATGGAAAATTGCATTTTGATACATTCTTTGTGAGAGATCACTTGGTAAAAATTTTATAGAGAAAAACATGGCACTCTATCAAAGTTGAAGATGCTCATAACTTTTGACTCTGCATTTTTTCACTACCTGTTATTCACTTATGTGTGAAATGACATCCTGACAAAGTTTTCTATTGCAGAAATGTTTGTTATGGTAACAACTGGAAAAAAAGACCAAAACATTGACCTCTATTTCCGAAAACATGGCCACTATTGTAGTTTGGGTGGCTCGCCCACAGCCTGGCCTTGCACTAGTCATCTAAAGGAGCAGAGCTAAGGAAAGTAATGCCCAGGACTCCAAATATTTGGGAAGAATGCTTGATCTGGGATCCTCCCAGGGCAGTCTTTGCTGGCAATTCATACTGATGGAAATGAATGGATTAAACCCAGATATTTATCAACATTCACTATCTCTGCCTCCTCATTGTGTCATCAAAGGCTCAGATTAAGGGTAAGCATAGAGGAAGCTGAAGTGCCTGGCCCATTCAACATTTTCTTCCTCTCTGACCTGGACCCACCTCTTTAATGGTCAAGTAGGGTAGCTGTTTTCTTAATTTTGTTGTTCACATTATGTTGAAATTTCCTTCCCTTTGATCTCTGCCCTTAATCCAGTAGGTCATTAGATGTCTCTTAGTTTATTCCCAAGAGTGCTGAGCTCTTGATCAGTAGAGGAACAAAGATAACCCCTGTGCCTGGAACATTATCTAAGGAATCCAAAAAACTGATGCTGCTCAGACAACTGTGTAATCTGTTACATAGTTGGAGCCTCACCTCTGTCTTTCCGTTGTCCATTTCCTTCAGATTTAGACATTCTTCAGTGCCAAGGTCAAAGTCCACTGCTGTGACTGAGCTCTTCTTTGAAGGTTTCTCCAGCTTCAGGTGACAGCACAGATTTGTCTTCTTTGTTGTCTTTCTAACTTTGTACCTGCTGACTGTCTCTGGCAATGTGATTATTGTGACCATTACTCGCCTGGACATTCACCTCCACACCCCCATGTACTTCTTCCTGAGCATTGCTGTCTATCTCTGAGACCTGCTACATGGTGGCCATTACTCCCCATATGCTTTCTCGCCTCTTGAATCCTCACTAGCTTATTGTCATGCAAGGCTGTGTCACTCAGCTCTTCTATGTGACTTTTGGCATCAACAACTGCTTTCTTCTCATAGCCATGGGATATGATTGCTATGTGGTCTTCTGCAACCCCTTACGGTATTCATAGGTAAGAGGGCTTGTGTCTGGCTGGGATCTGGGTCACTGAGGATTGGCCTGGGCATGGCTATTGTCCAAGTAACATCTATGTTTGGCCTGCCCTTTTGTGATGACTTTGTCATCTCCCACTTCTTCTGTGATGTGAGACCCCTGCTGAAGCTGGCCTGCACAGACACCACTGTCAATGAGATAATCAACTTTGTTGTCAGTGTCTGTGTCCTTGTCCTACATATTGCCCTGATCTTTATCTCCTATGACCTCATCATCTACACCATCCTTAAGATTGCTTCAACTGAGGGTAGGAAGAAGGCCTGTGCCACCTGCACCTCCCATCTCATAGTGGTCATCAGCCACTATGGCTATATTTCCATCATCTACCTGAAGCTTAAGTCCCAGAGTTTCCTGGGGCAGAACAGACTCATCTCAGTGACCTACACCATTATCACTCCCCTGCTGAACTCTGTCATGTAGATCTTGAGGAACAAGGAGCTCAAAGATGCTCTGTGCAGAGCCATGAAGAGGAAACTCTTCAACCCCCAGTGTATCAAGATTGTGATGGCCTCCCTTCATGTGCTTACTTCTCCAAAGTTTTGGCAGTCAGGAATATTGTGATTCTCCACAGTCCAGGGAGCCTCCTATGGGGCCTGCTCCTGGAATGTCATCACAGGTCCTGCCGAATAACACAAAAATGGAAGATTCATGTTGGATGCCTTGTAAAAAGCTTCAGATGTGTTATTCTATTTTGAGGCTAGGGAACCTTCAGAGGTGAAAATGGAAAGTGTTAATTTAGTTGTTCCTTATACAATTTCCCCCTTAGATCCACCTTTTTTCCTCATGTCTTTATTTGTTCACAAACTTTGGTATAAGTTTACTGGTTCCTCTTTCACTGGTGTAGGCATCACCCTCACCCTATGGAGCCCATGGTGAGCCATGAGTATATGCAGTTTCTCCTCGATAGTGCTACCTCATGTCTTGCACCACCATTATCATGGGGTATAAAAACGGGGAATTACCGTTTATCACACTGAAAACAAAGTTCTATATGTTTGTACATCGCTTTATAGTTTATAAGGAAGTTTCACATATAGGATTTCACCTGATCCTTAATGAACCCTATAGAGTAGGCTGGGAAACAATTATGTTATCATCCCTATCTTAGACCTGAAAATACTAAAGCACATATAGATAGAATTTATCTGCCCAGGCACACGAAACTAGACAGTTGTAGTGATAGGATTTGGATCTAGTTCTCTTATCATTGTCACTTGCTCTTTGTAATGAATGGAGTAACATGAAGCCGACACCTCTTGAGAAAAATCATGGTCTTCATTGGATAGTACAGGCAAGGCTGTCACTGTTCTATGAAGCGTGTCTACCCATTTTAGGGGAAAAAAGCATCTTCTC
Source organism: Homo sapiens (assembly GCF_000001405.40). Lineage (NCBI taxonomy): Eukaryota > Metazoa > Chordata > Mammalia > Primates > Hominidae > Homo > Homo sapiens. The sequence goes on along the minus strand of NW_025791759.1, from coordinate 156,396 downwards.
TAGACATTTCTGTTGAAAACTGCCATAATAATTTTACTGCCCTCTCGTAATAAATTATCACAAACCTATGATGTTTGAGCTGTAAATGATACTCCTGTATCATTTACAAATGTGGCACTGTCGCGCACTGCACAACCTGCAGAATCCTATGCTGCAATTCTGATGATGGGTGTGAAAAAGGATACTGGAAACAATAGGTGCCTAGTTCCTTTCCCGGAGTCTATATTCATTCCTGGATTGTCTAAAAGGTGGAAGACATTAAATTCTATTGCTGGCTGAAACACCTCCAGTTTCTCCAACTCAGGCCTTTTCAAGAGACTGTTCAAGTTATTTCAAAAGGTACAGTTATTTTTGACTATAGTCATCCTGTTGTGCTATCAAATAGTAGGCCTTATTTATTTTTTCTATATTTTTTGATACCCATTTACAATCCCCACCTCCCCCTCAAGCCGCCAGCTATACTTTTCAGCCTCTGGTTGCTCTCTATGCCCATGAGTTCAATTGTTTTGATTTTTAGATCCCACAAGTAAGTGAGAACATGCAATGTTTGTCTTCCTGTGCCTGGCTTATTTCATTTAATGTAATGATCTCCAGTTCCATTCATGTTGTTGCAAACGACTGGATTGCATTCTTTTTTTATGGCTGAACATTACTACATTGTGTATATGTACCACATTTTCTTTATCCATTCATCTATCGATGGACACTTAGGTTGCTTCCAAATCTTAGCTATTGCAAACAGTGCTGCCACAAACATAGGAGTACAATCTCTTCAGTATACTGATTTCCTTTCTTTTGTGTATATATCCAGCAGTTGGATTGCTGGATCATATGGTAGATTAATTATTAGTTTTTTGAGGAACCTCCAAAAAGTTCTCCATAATGGTTGTGCTAATTTACATTCACACCAGCTGTGTGCAAGTGTTCCCTTTTCTCCACATCCATGCCAGCATTTGCTATTGTCTTGTCTTTTGGATATAAACCATTTAACTGGGGTGAGATGATATCTCACTGTAGTTTTGATTTGCATTTCTCTGATGATCAATGACGTTGAGCACATTTTCATATGCCTGCATGCTATTTGTATGTCTTCTTTTGAGAAATGTCTATTCAAATCTTTTGCCTATTTTTGATCAGATTATTAGATTGTTTTCATATAGAGTTGTTTGTGCTCCTTACACATTTGGTTTATTAATCCCTTGTCACGTGGATCGTTTGAGAATATTGTCTTCCATTCTGTGGGTTGTCTCTTCACTTTGTCGAATGTATACTTTACTATGAAGAAGCTTTTTAACTTGATGTGATCCCATTTGTCCACTTTTGATTTGGTTGCCTGTGTTTGTGGGTTATTGCTCAAGAAATTTTTGCCCAGGTTAATAATGTCCTAGAGATTTTCCCCAATGTTTTCTTGTAGCAGTTTCATGGTTTGAGGCCCTAGATTTAAGTCTTTAATCCATTTTGATTTGATTTTTGTGCATGGTGAGAGATAGGGGTCTAGTTTAATCCTTGTGCATATGTATACCCAGTTTTCCCAGCACCATTTATTGAAGAGAGTCTTTTCCCCTAGTTTGTGTTCTAGGTACCTTTGTTTAAAATGAGTTCATTGTAGGTGTGTGGATTTGTTTGTGGGTTCTCTATTCTGTTCAATTCGTCTATGTGTTTGTTTTTATGACACTAGTATGCTGTTTTGGTTACTGTAGCTCTGTGGTATAATTTGAAGTCAGGTAATGTGATTCTTCCAGTTTTGTTCTTTTTGCTTAGGCTAGCTTTGGCTATTCTGAGTCTTTTGTGATTCCATATAAATTTTATGATTGGTTTTTCTATTTCTGTGGAGAATATCATTGGTATTTTTATAGGGATTGCATTGAATCTGTAGACAGCTTTGGGTACTATAAATAGTTTAACAATATTGATTCTTCCACCCATAAACATGGAATCTTTTTCCTTTTTTTGGTGTCCTCTTCAATTACTTTCATGAGTGTTTTATAGTTTTCATTATAGAGATCTTTCACTTCTTTGGTTAAGTTCATTCCTAGATAATTCATTTTATGTGTGGCTATTGTAAATGGGATTTTTTTTAAAAAATTTGTTTTTCACATCTTTGACTGTTGGCATATAGAAATGCTACTGATTTTTGTGTGTTCATTTTTTATCCTGCAAGTTTACTGAATTTGTTTATTAGTTCTAATAGTTGTCTTGTGAAGTCTTTAGGTTTCCCCAAATATAAGATCATAGCATCTGCAAAGAGGGATACTTTGGCTTTTTCCTTTCCAATTTGGATGCCCTTTATTTCTTTCTCTTGTCTGATTGCTCTAGCTAGGACTTCTAGTACTATACTGAATAACAGTGATGAAAGTGGGCATTCTTGTTGTGTTGCAGATCTTACAGGAAAGGCTTTCAGTTTTTCCCCATTCAGCTAGTATCATTCAGTATGGTACTAGCTGTAGGTCTGTCATATATGGCTTGTATTTCATTTTGGTATGGTCCTTCTATCCCCTGATTTTTAGGGGTTTTATCATGAAGGGATGTTGGATTTTATCAAATGCTTTTTTAAGCATCAGTTAAAATGATCATATGGTTTTGTCCTATATTCTTTTGATGTAATGTATCACATTGATTGATTTGCAAATGTTGAACCATTCCTGCATCCCAGGATTAAATCCCACTTGGTCATGATAAATGATCTTTCCAATGTATTGTTGGATTCTGTTTGCTAGTATTTTGTTGAGGATTTATGCATCAATATTCATAAAAAATATTGGCTTGTAGTTTTCTTTTTTTGATGTGTCTTTGTCTGGTTTTGGTATCAGGATAATGCTGGCCTTGTAGAATGAGTTTGACGTATTCCTTCCTCTTCTATGTTTTGGAATAATTTGAGTATGATTGGTATTAGTTTTTTAAATGTTTGGTAGAATTCAGCAGTGAAGCCATCAGGTCCTGGGTTTTCTTTCCTGGAAACTTTTTGTTATGGCTTCAATCTCATTACTTGTTATTTATCTGCTCAGGTTTTTTATTTCTTCTTGGTTCAATCTTGGTAGGTTGTATCTACCTAAGTATTTGTTCATTTCTTCTAGGTTTTCCAATTTATTGGCATATACTTGCTCATAGTAGCCACTAATCATCCTTTGAATTTCTGCAGTATCAGTTGCAATGCCACCTTCTTCATTTCTGATTTTATTTATTTAGAGCTTCTCTATTTTTTTCTTTGTTAGTCTGGCTAACGGTTTGTCAATTTTGTTTAACTTTTCAAAAACCCAACTTTTATTACATTGATCTTTTGTGTTTTGCAAATTTTAATCTTATTTATTTCTGCTCTAATCTTTATTATTTATCTTCTACTACTTTGGGGTTTGGTTTGCTCTTGCTATTCTAGTTCTATAAGATGCATTGTTAGATTGTTTTTTGAAGTTTTTTCTCTTTTTTTTTTGGTGCAGGCACTTATAGCTGAAAAATTCCCTCTTAGTACTGCTTTTGCTATATCCCATAGGTTTTGGTATGTTGTGGTTCCATTATTCTTTGTTTCAAGAAGTTTTCAATATTTCATTGACCCACTGGTCATTCAGGAACATATTGTTTAACTTTTATGTATTTGTATATTTTCCAAAATTTCTGATTATTCATTTCTAGTTTCATCCCCTTTTGGCCAGAGAAGATGCTTGATATTATTTAAATTTTTTGAATGTTTTAAGACTTGTTTTGTCACCTAATATATAGTCTATCCTTCAGAATGATCCATGTGCTGAGGAAAAGGATGTGTATTCTGCAGCTCTTGTATGAAATGTTCTGTAAATATCTATTAGGTCTATTTGGTCTATAGTGCAGAATAAGTCTGAGGTTTCTTTATGGATTTTCTGTCTGGAAGATCTGTCCAATGCTGCAAGTGGGGTACTGAAGTCTCCAGCTCTTATTGTATTGGGGCCTATGTTTTTCTTTAGCTCTAATAGTATTTTCTTTATATATCTTTTATATATTGGGTACTTTATATTTAAATTTTATGTAATAAATATATATTTAAATTTTATAAAATATTTATATTGAAAATTGTTATATCCCCTTGCTGAAGTGACCACTTTATCATTATATAGTGACACTCTTTGTCTTTTCTTATAGTTTTCATCTTGAAATTTATTTTGTCTTATATAACTATAGTGACTCCTGCTCTTTTTAGTTTTCCATTGGGATGGAATATCTTTTTTCATCCCTTTATTTTCATTCTATGTGTGTCTATAGGTGAAGTGTTTTTTGTAGGCAAAGATCAATGGATCTTGTTTTTTCATCCGTTCAGTCAGTCAATGTATTTTCACTGGAGAGTTTAGTCCATTCGCATTCAATGTTATTGTTGATAAGTAAGAACTTACTCTTTTTTTTAATTATTATTATACTTTAAGTTTTAGGGTACATGTGCACACTTACTCTTGCCATTTTGTTGTTTCCAGGTTGTCTTGTGATCTTCTCTTCCTTCTTTCTTTCATTACTATCTTTCTTTAGTAAAGATGATTTTTTCTGTTGATACAATTTAGTTTCTTCCTTTTTTATTTTTTGTGTATCTATTGCATATTTTTTGGTTTGAGGTTACATGAGGCTTACAAATGCTATCTTATAATCCATTATTTTAACTTGATAACAACTTAACACTATTTGCATAAACAAACAAACAAGCAAAAAGAAAACTAACAAAAACTTGCCTTAACTTTGTCCTCCCACTTTTTAACTTTTCATTGTTTCTATTTATATCTTATTGTACTGATTATGTCTTGAAAAGTTGTTGTAGTTATTACTTTTTATTGGTTCATCATTTAGTCCTTCTATTTAGTATAAGATTAGTTTACTTACACACAACAGTTACAGTGTTACAATGTTCTGTGTTTTTGTGTTTACTTGCTATTACCAGTAAATTTTCTATTTTCAGGTGATTATTTATTGCTCATTAATGTTATTTTCTTTCTGATTGAAATACTCCCTTCAGCATTTCTTTCTTTTTTTTTTTTTTTTTTTTTTTTGAGACAGAATCTCGCTCTATCGCCCAGGCTGGAGTGCAGTGGCATGATCTCTGCTCACTGCAAGCTCCACCTCCCAGGTTCACACCATTCTCCTGCCTCAGCCTCCTGAGTAGCTGGGACTACAGGTGCCCACCACGATGCCCGGCTAATTTTTTGTATTTTTTAGTAGAGACGGGTTTCACCGTGTTAGCCAGGATGGTCTCAATCTCCTGACCTTGTGATCTGCCCGCCTCAGCCTCCCAAAGTGCTGGGATTACAGGCATGAGCCATCGCGCCTGGCCAGAATTTCTTACAGGACAGACCTGGTATTAATAAAACCTCTCAGCTTTGGCTTGTCTGGAAAAGTCTTCATTTTACCTTCATATTTCAAGGATATTTTTGCTGGATATACTATTCTAGACTTAACAGTTTTTTTTTTCTTCAACATTTAAAATATGTCATGTTATTCTCTCCTGGCCTGTAATGTTTCCACTGAGAAGTCCACTGCCAGATGTAGTGAAGCTTAATTGTATGTTATTTGTTTTTTTTCTCTGACTGCTTTTAGTATCTTTTCTTTATTACTGATCTTTGGAAGTTTGATTATTAAATGCCTCGAGGTAGTCTTTGGGTTAAATCTGCTTCATGCTCTATGACCCTCTTGCACTTGCTATTGATATCTTTCTCTAGGTTTGGGAAGTTCTCTGTTATAATCCTTTTGAATAAACATTCTACCCCTACCTCTTTCTTTACCTCCTCTTTAAGGCCAGTAATTCTTACCATTTCTCAATAATAATTCTCTAAAATAGCCTTTTTGAGACTATTTTCTAGATTCTGTAGGCATACTTTATTGTTTTTTATTCTTTTTTCTTTTGTCTCCTCTGACAGTATATTTTCAAATAGCTTTTCTTCAAGCTCACTAATTCTCTCTTCTTCTTGATCCATTCTGCTATTGAAGGACTCTTATGCATTCCTCAGTATACCAATTGCATTTTTCAGCACTGGAATTTCTGCTTGATTTCTTAAAATTATTTCAATCTCTTTGTTAAATATATCTGATTGAATTCTGAATTCCTTCCCTGTATTATCTTGAATTTCCTTGAGTTTCCTCAACACATCTATTTTGAATTCCCTTTCTGAAAGGTCACATATCTCTGTTTTTTCAGGATTGGTCCCTAGTGCCTTATTTAGTTAATTTGGTAAGGTCATGTTTTCCTGGACAATGTTGATGGTTGATGCTAGTAGATATTCTTCAGTGTCTGGGAATCAAAGAGTAATGTATGTATTGTAATCTTCACTGTCTTGGCTTATTTGCAGCCATCCTTGAGAAGGCTTTCCAGATATTTGAAAGGACTTGGGTGTTGTGATTTAAGCTGTTTCTGCTTTAGGGGTCACCCTAAGCCCAATAATGCTGCCGTTCTTGCAGACTGTTGCTATGGTATTGCCTTGATGGTCTTGGGTAAGATTACCAGAATTCTCTGTATTACCAGGCAGAGATTCTTATTCTCTTCCCTTACTTTCTCCCAAACATACAGAGTCTCTTTCTCTTTTCTGAGCCACCTACAGCTGGGGGTGTAGTGACACAAGCACTCCTGTGGCCACCATCACTATGACTGCACAGACTTGAAGCCAGGATAGTGCTGGGGCTTGCCCAAGGCCTGCTGTAGCCAGTCCCTGGCTACTGCCTATGTTCACTCAAGGCCCTGGGGCTCTATAATCACCAGGCAGCAAAGACAGCCAGGCCTGTGTCCTTTGCTTTAGGGTGGCAAGGTCCCTCAAGCCCCAGGTGGGTCCAGAAGTGCCATCCAGGAGTCAGGGACTAGAGTCAAAAACCTTAGGAGACTATCTGGTATTCTATTATATTGCAGCTGAGCTGGCACGGAAACCACAAGACATAGTTCTTCCCACTCTTCCTTTCTTTTTCCAAAGGCAGAAGAATCTCACCCCCATAGCCCCCACCGCCCATGGCCATGAGGAGTACTGCCAGACTACCATCAATATTCCTTTAAGGCCTAAGATCTCTTAAGTTAGCTTGTGGTGAATGTTGTCTAGCCTGGGACTCACCCTTCAGGGTAGTGGGCTCCCCTCTGGCCCAGGGCAGGTCCAGAAATGCCATCCAAAAGTCCAGTTCTGGAATCAAGGACCCCCAAGATTCCACTTGGTGCTTTACCCTTTGTGGCAGTGTTCTTACCTAAGGTGCAAGAAAAAGTCCCCTTTACTTTTCCCTCTGCTTTTCTCAAGCAGAATGAGTTTTGCCCCATAGCCACCACAGCTAGTAACATGCTGAGTTTTACCTCAAGCCAGCAAGTCTCAGAGGCTCTCTAAGGCCCTCAGTGTAGTACGTGGGTATCACTGCTGGTTATTCAGGGCCCAAGGGCTCTTTATTTAGCAGTCAATGGATGCTGGCAGGACAGGGTCCTTTTCGTTAAGGCAACAGGTTCCCTTCTGGACCAGGGTGTGTCTAGAAATGTTGGCTGGGGGCTAGGGTCTGAAACAGGGGCCTCCTGACTGACTGGTGCCCTAACCTGCCGTGGCTGAGCTGGTGTCCAAGAAGCGAGACAAAGTCCTCCTCACTCTTTCCTCCCTTCTCCTTAAGTGGAAGAAAGGAGTGTCTTTTGGAGCCATGAACTGTGCAGCCTTGGGTTAGGGGAGGGATGATGCCAGCACTCCTTTGGCTTCCTTAGCTAGTCTCTCAGTCTATTCCATGCCCAACCCTCACAACAAGTCCACTATCTCTGGGCCTAGTTCAGCCCTGGGACTCACCTAAATGTTGCAGTCCTTATGATCTAGACTGCCTTTCAAGTTTACTTAGTGACTGAGAGCACTTTGGCCCTTGGTGGTGAGGTTTGCAGGCACTCATAGTTCGGACTACTGGGACTGGCAATTCCCTACTGGCTAGGGCTAGTTTAAATGCTCCCTCTGTGTATGGGTGTCAGCTGAGTTTGTTGGTTTTCCCTTCTGCTCTAACAGAACAGCACTGAGTCCAATGCCTCACAATTGTGTTCTTCCTCCAGCACGTAGAGATGCTTGCGAGGGTTGGGGAGGGGTGGCATACGTGATTCAGGGCTGTTTTTCTATCTCTTCAGTGCTTTTTTCAGCAATATGAAGTTGAAACCAGGTGTTATGAGTGCTCACCTTATTTTTGGTGTTGTTTTCCTGTGAAGGTAGTTGTTAACTTGCTGTCCTTGCTATGGGGATGATTGGTGCAGCTTCCTATTCTGCCATCTTTTTCCACCTCTCTCCCTGAGCCTGGTGGTTCTTATTCCAAAGTCAGAGAAGAAAGCACTTATGCATTAATTATTGTCTATGCATTAAGAGCTTTGCTAGAAATTTTATACACATTATCTAATTTAAACTATTATTCTCCACAATCTAGTATATTAATCATTTTATTCCCTCAGTTTTCCAAGCGATGTCTATTGAGGGCTTTATTACCTGTTTGTGCTACTCTGCCACGGCTGGCTCTTAGTAGGTTGGAGACCTTCAAGGCTACCAACATTTTGATCATGGGAACTCTTTCAACTCTTAAAAATTATTGGGGACCCTATGAACTTTTGTCCATGTTATTTTACTGTAGTAGAAATTAAAATGGATAATTTTAAAACTGTTAATTTATTTGAAAATAACAATGAACCTATTATGTGTTAACATAAATAACATTTTTATGAAAAATAACCAAAACAACAAAATATTTAGAAGAGTGGCACTACTTTACATTTTTGCAATTCTCTTTAATGTCTGGTTTAATAGAAGACAGCTGGATTATTATGTGCGCTTCTATATCCAATCTGTTGCCATATCACATATTATGTAGCCTCTGGAAAACTCCTGTCTCATGAGAGAATGAATGAAAAAGGTAAATAATATCAGTATTATCATGAAAACAGTTTGATCTCATAGACCCCCTGGAAGAGATCTTCCCACTACTCTTTGAGCACACTTAGACTAGTGTTTAAGTGTATTGCTTGCTATGAGCTGTATTTACTAATGCTCCCACTCTTTACACTGACCACACTCAGTTTTAGAATAAAAAAAAAGAAAAGAAAAACAAAATGCAAAAAACTTGAAGTGGGGATGAGGAAGCATCACTTCTTGGGAGTTGTGAGCAAACAAAACTAATAAGAAGGTCACAGACCTCTATTGTCTTTGAGCATTTCTTGGCCTGTTAAAAGAAGCATCAGAAAGAAGAATGCCTGAGTGGAAGATGGGGAAGAAATGGGATTTGGGTCAGGAGATTCTAAGAGGGATTTCTTACCCATTAGTGCTCAGTATATGAGTGAGAGCTGGGCTTTCCAAAACTTGTTTTCCTGCTGATTTTCTCTTGTTCCTTGACCCCAACCAGCAAACTAGAGTCTACGTTTTGCTTCATAGCATCAGCTGATAATCAGTTGAGACCCTTTCTTCGGACTGCTGATGTCGAGCAGGGAGATAAACAACTGGATGGATTTTTTTTTTTTATAGTTGCATGTTCTAAGCACACTGGAGTTCAGAGCCAAAAAGTTCATTTAAAAAAATCTATTCAAAGAGAGATTCATGTTCGCACTTATCAAAGCAGTGTCTATTTAATCATATTCCTTTTCTCTTTCTCATATGCCAAATTAGTGTATGTGTACACATCTGTTTTTGAGTTACATTCTGTTGTATAAATCTATTTTGGCTATTTTTGTGCCAGTTTTATGCTTCTTTAATGAATATTGATTGATTATATATATCTTGATATCTGCTAGATCAAGAAACTCATTGTAATTTTTTTCTAAAAGTCTTGTCTATTTTAGTGCATTACTAAATATAAGTTCCATGAAAGCTTATTATTTCAATTATTATACTCTTAACAACTTTAATAATGCTTGACATAGTATAAGTACTCAGTAAATACTTGTTAAAGGAATGAGTTTACACTTCTGAACTAATTTTAGAGTTAGTATTCATGCAACATCTCACATGGTTTATTTTTTAGGGTTGCACTGAATTTGTAGATTGATTCAGAAAGAGTTGACATCTTTGTCTACTTTAAAGAGAAGCCATCAATGGATATGTCTCTTCATTTATCTCCTTCATTAAAGTTACATAATATTTTACATAATGATATTGTGTATTTTTGTTATGTTTTCATAAGATGCTCAGGTGTTCTGTTGTTATTTAAATGGGATATTTTAAAATAATAGCCTTATTGAGTTGTAATTCACCTAACATAACATTTAACTTTTTAAAGTGCAAAATTTAGTGGTTTTTAGTACATTCACAAAGTTCTATAACTATTACTACTATCTAATTTCGGAACATTTTCACCACCTCCAAAACACCCTGTATCCATTAGCAGCCATCCTCCATTTCTCTCCTGCCTTCAGCCATTGACAAACACTAAACTATTTTCTGTTTCTGTAGATTTGCCTGTCTGGACATTTCATATAAATGGAATCATAACACACATGGTTCTTTGTGACTAATTTATTTCACTTAGCATAATATTTTCAAGGTTCATCCATGTTGCAGCATGAATCAATATTTCATTCCTTTTTATTGCAGAATAATTTTTCATATGTCACATTTGCTTATCCATTAATCAGTTGTCAGAAAATTGTGTTGTTTACATTTTTTGGCTATTACAAATATAATGGTGCTATGAACATTTGTCTGCAAGTTTCTGTGTGGAAGTATGTTTTTATTTCTTTTGGATATATGCCTAAATATGGAATTGTTACTGGGTTCAGTTTGCTAGTATTTTATTGAAGTTTTTATATCTATATTCTGAAAAAATATGGATCTACAGTTTTTTTTTTGTGATGTCATTGGTTTTGGTATCAAGAAATAATAATGGCCTCATAGGATGGGTTGGGAAGTATTTTCTCTTTTTTTTTGGAAGAGTGTATGAAGGATTGATATGAATTATTTAATGTTGCTACACTTTGCAAGTGAAGCCATCTGGGCCTGACCTATCTTTATGAGAAGCTTATTCATTACTGATGCAATGTCTTTACTTGTTAGAGGACTATTCAGATTTTCTATTCCTTCTTAAATGTATTTCTATAGTTTGTATTTTTTAAAGATGATGTCCACTTTTTAGTATTTATTTACTTATTTGTTTTTAGTAACCACACAGGAAACTTAAGATGTACTCTCTTTAATTCCTTGTTTTAGTGATTTGCATCTTCTCTCTTTTCTTCTTGGTTAGTCTAGATAAGCGTTTGTCTTTTTTTTTTTTTTTTTTTTTTTTTTTTTTTTTTTTTTTTGTGGAAGAATCTCTGTCACCTAGGCTGGAGTGCAGTGGTGCAATCTCAGCTCACTGCAGCCTCCGTCTCCTGAGTCCAAGTGCTTCTCCTGCCTCAGCCTCCTGAGTAGCTGGGATTACAAGTGCATGCCACCACCCCCAGTTAATTTTTGTATTTTTGGTAGAGACGGGGTTTCGCCATGTTGGCCACGCTGGTCTTGAACTCCTGGCCTCAAGTGATCTGCCCGCCTCAGCCTCCCAAAGTGCTGGGATTACAGGCATGAGCCATCCCGCCCAGCCCAAATCTGTCAGTTTTTGTTTCATGTATTTTGATGCTCTATTTTTAGGTGCATATTTAATTTACAAGCGTTAAGTCTTCCTGATGAATTGAACTTTTACAACTATAAAGTATCTTTCTTTTCTCTTATAACATTTTGGCCTTGAAATCTATTTTGTCTGATATTAATACATAGCCACAGATCTTTTTAAGTGACTGTTTACATGACATATTTTATTCCACCCTTTTACTTATAACCTGTTTATGTCTTTGAATCTGGAGTCTGTCTCTTGTAGACAGACATACAGTTGAGTCATATTTTTAAATCTATTCTGTCAATCTCTGCCTATTAATTGGATGATTTAACTTATTTCTCTTTAATATAGTTACTGAACAGGTAGAATTTACATTTACCATTTTATCATTTGTTTTCTGTATGTCATGCCTTTTTGCTCCTCTAGTCTTCCATTATTGCCTTTTTTACATTTAAAAAGATATTTTCTAGTTTCACATTTTAAGTAACTTTTTTACTACATTTAAATATTTAAATATTTTCTTAGTGGTTGCTCCAAGGATTATAATTAACTTTTTACCTTACAATAATCTATTTCTTATTCCTATTCCTATTAATTTGCTTAGTGTACAAAAACTGCTCAAATATGACTCCATTCTCTCATCTTTCTTTGCACAATTATTGTCATACATATAACATCTTTATACAAATTTATCAACACATCTTTGTAGTTATTTCTTTATGCAGTTGTATTTTTAATCAAATAGAAGAAAAGAGTAGCAAAAAAATTATACTGTCTTTTTTTACCCATGTATATATATATTTTTGTCTTTTTCTGACTTTAGTTGGAATGCTTAAAATGTTTTGTCATGAAGTATGATATTTGGCCTAGATTTCTGATAGCTACTCACAGGTAAAGAAAATCCCTTTCTAGTCTCTGTTTGGTAAAAATGTTTAAAATCAATTGTGTGTTGAGTCTATAATATTTTTATGTTTCTTCATCCTTTGAGATAATCGCGTGTTTTATTCTTTAATTTTTGACATAGTAAATTATGTTACTATATTTTTAAATGTTGAGTCACCCTTGTCTTTCTAGCTTAAACACATTTGGACATGCTTAATTTAACTATAGATTACTTTAGTTAAAATTTTATTTAGAATATTTGCTCCAATCTATAAGTGACATAGGATTTAATTTCTTATTTTTAACTGCCTATTTCTGGTAAAATATAAGGTTTTTTGAGGCTAGTGTCCCTATGATTTGAGTTAGGGAGATTATTCTCTTTTTGTGAAACCTGAAATAATTTGCATATCTTTCTCTTGAAAGGTTTGATAAACTAGCCTGAAAAACCATCTGTTCTCATGTCTTTCTCTTGAGTGGGTATGCAAAGTATGTTTTAACTATTATTTTTATTTGTTTCGGCTTATTGGCGTGTTCATTTTCTAATTATTCTCAGGTCAATGTAGTAAATTTATATTTTAAATAAATTGTACATTTCATCTATATTTTCTTTTTTTTATTATACTTTAAGTTTTAGGGTACATGTGCACAATGTGCAGGTTTGTTACATATGTACACATGTGCCATGTTGGTGTGCTGCACCCAGTAACTCATCATTTAGCATTAGGAATATCTCCTAATACTATCCCTCCCCCCTCCCCCTACCCCACAACAGGCACTGGTGTGTGATGTTCTCCTTCCTGTGTCCATGTGTTCTCATTGTTCAATTCCCACCTATGAGTGAGAACATGCGGTGTTTGGTTTTTTGTCCTTGTGATAGTTTTCTGAGAATGATGGTTTCCAGCTTCATCCATGTCCCTACAAAGGACATGAACTCATCCTTTTTATGGCTGCATAGTATTCCATGGTGTATATGTGCCACATTTTCTTAATCCAGACTATCATTGTTGGACATTTGGGTTGGTTCCAAGTCTTTGCTATTGTGAATAGTGCCACAATAAACATACGTGTGCATGTGTCTTTATAGCAGCATGATTTATAATCCTTTGGGTATATACCCAGTAATGGGATGGCTGGGTCAAATGGTATTTCTTGTTCTAGATCCCTGAGGAATCACCACACTGACTTCCACAATGGTTGAACTAGTTTACAGTCCCACCAACAGTGTAAAAGTGTTCCTATTTCTCCACATCCTCTCCAGCACCTGTTGTTTCCTGACTTTTTAATGGTCGCCATTCTAACTGGTGTGAGATGGTATCTCACTGTGGTTTTGATTTACATTTCTCTGATGGCCAGTGATGATGAGCATTTTTTCATGTGTCTTTTGGCTGCATAAATGTCTTCTTTTGAGAAGTGTCTGTTCATATCATTTGCCTACTTGTTGATGACATGATTGTATATCTAGAAAACCCCATCATCTCAGCCCAAAATCTCCTTAAGCTGATAGGCAACTTTAGCAAAGTCTCAGGATACAAAATCAATGTACAAAAATCACAAGCATTCTTATACACCAATAACAGACAAACAGAGAGCCAAATCATGAGTGAACTCCCATTCACAATTGCTTTAAAGAGAATAAAATACCTAGGAATCCAACTTACAAGGGATGTGAAGGACCTCTTCGAGGAGAACTACAAACCACTGCTCAATGAAATAGAAGAGGATACAAAGAAATGGAAGAACATTCCATGCTCATGGGTAGGAAGAATCAATGTCATGAAAATGGCCATACAGCCCAAGGTAATTTATAGATTCAATGCCATCCCCATGAAGCTACCAATGACTTTCTTCACAGAATTGGAAAAAACTACTTTAAAGTTCATATGGAACCAAAAAAGAGCCCGCATCGCCAAGTCAATCCTAAGCCAAAAGAACAACGCTGGAGGCATCACACTATCTGACTTCAAACTATACTACAAGGCTACAGTAACCAAAACAGCATGGTACTGGTACCAAAACAGAGATATAGATCAACGGAACAGAACAGAGCCCTCAGAAATAATACTGCATATCTACAACTATCTGATCTTTGACAAACTTGACAAAAACAAGCAATGGGGAAAGGATTCCCTGTTTAATAAATGGTGCTGGGAAAACTGGCTAGCCATATGTAGAAAGCTGAAACTGGATCCTTTCCTTACACCTTATACAAAAATTAATTCAAGATGGATTAAAGACTTAAATGTTAGACCTGAAACCATAAAAACCCTAGAAGAAAACCTAAGCAACACCATTCAGGACATAGGCATGGGCAAGGATTTCATGTCTAAAACACCAAAAGCAATGGCAACAAAAGCCAAAATTGACAAATGGGATCTAATTAAACTAAAGTGCTTCTGCACAGCAAAAGGAACTACCATCAGAGTGAACAGGCAACCTACAGAATGGGAGAAAATTTTTGCAATCTACTCATCTGACAAAGGGCTAATGTCCAGAATCTACAGTGAACTCCAACAAATTTACAAGAAAAAAACAAACAACCCCTTAATCTACATTTTCAAATTTATTGATTTAAAGCTTCCCATGCTATTCTTACAATTTTTAAAATTTTATTTGTATTATTAATTATGTCATTTTTGGGAAGTATTTATTTTTATTGTAAGTGGTCCTTTTGCCATTTGCTCTTCATCATACCTACCGAAGGTTAAATTTCAATAATCTTTTCAAGACCTATTTTTGTTGTAATTTTTATTAAATTATTTTAAGGTATGTTTATTTAATTTTTATTTATTTATTAAATTAATTTTCATGTTTTTATCATCTTATTTCATTTTACCTTGGGTTTATTTTGTTCTTTTTCTATGTCCTCTTTTTGCTTAAATTTAAAAAATTTTAAAACTTTTTTATTTGACAGGTAGATCGCAGGCATTTGTCTTGTACATGATGTTTTGTACTATATGTACGTGTGTAATGGGTAATTTTAGTTAATGAACAGTTGCATTCCCTCACAGTTATCCTTTCTGTGCTGAGAACACTTAACATTCTCTCTCATTGCATTATATAAGAATACAGTAAATTGTCATTACTATAGTTGCCTTGCTGTACAATAGATCTTTAAAATGTATTCCTCCTGTCTAACTGTATTTATGTATCCTTTGCCCAAACTCTACCCATCTTCCCTTCAAGCTCACCTTCCCCAGCCTCTGGAAGCCACTCTACAATCCACTTCTGTGAGATCAATTTTTTTAGATTCCAGAAATGATTATATGGCATTTGTCTTTCTGTACCTGGCTCATTTTAGTTAACATAATGTCTTCCAGGTTCAGCTGTATTGCTGCAAATAACAGGATTTCCTTTTTTTAATGGATGAATACTACTCCATTGTGTATATATGCCACATTTTCTTTATCCATTTATCCATTGATGGACACTTAGTTGATTCCATATCTTGGCTATTGTGAACAGGTCTACAATAAACATGGTAGTGTAGCTATCTCTTCAACATACTAATTTCATTTTCTTTGTTTATATGCCCAGTAGTGGGATTGCTGTATCACATGATAGTTCTATTTTTGATTTTTTGAGGAACCTTTCAACTATTTTCCCTAATGGTTGTACAGACTAATTTACATTCCCACCCTCAGTGTATAAGGGTTTCCTGTTTTCTGTATCCTTGCCAGCACTTGTCATTTCTGACTTTTTAAATAGCAACCATTTTAATATAATAAGATAACATCTTATTGTGATTTTGATTTGCATTTTCCTGAAGATTAGTGATAATTAGCATTTTTTTCATATACTTGTTGGACATTTTTATGTATTCTTTTGAGAAATGTCTATTCAAGTCTGCCCATTTAAAAATTACCATTATTATTATTTGCTATTGAGTTGTTTGAGTTTTCTATACATTTTGGATAGTAACTCATTGTCAAATGTGTAACTTTCAAACATCGTTTGTTTCCATAACTCTTTTCATCTTGTATAAATGAATCTCTATATCCATTGAACAATAACTCTTCATGTATTAGTCTGTTCACATGCTGCTAATAAAGACATACTCAAGACTGATTAATTTATAAAGAAAAAAAGGTTTAAAGAACTCACAGTTTCCCATGGCTTGGGAGGCCTCACAATCATGGCTTAAGGTGAAGGAGGAGCAAAGGCATGTCTTATATGGCAACAGGCAACAAAGAAGTGCTGAGCAGAAGGAGGAAAAACCCCTTATAAAACCATCAGATCTCATGAGAACTCACTATCACAAGAACAGCAGCATGGGGTAACCTCTCCCATGATTTAATTACATCACATCGTGCCTCCCATGTGCCTCCCACAACACTTGCAGATTATGGACACTACAATTCAAGATGATAATTAGGTGGGGACACAGAGCCAAATCATATCATTCCACCACTGGCCCCTCCAAAATCCTATGTCCTCACATTTCACAACAGCATCATGCCTTCCCAACAGTCCCCCAAAGTCTTCACTCATTCCAGCATTAACTCAAAAGTCCAAGTCCAAAGTCTCATCTGAGTCAAGAAAAGTCCCTTCTGCCTATGAGCATGTAAAATCAAAAGCAAGTTAGTTACTTCCTAGACACAATGGGGGTACAGGCATGGGGTAAATACACTCATTCCAAATTGGAGAAATTGGCTAAAATGAAGGGACTACAGGCCTCATGCAAGTCCAGAATCCAATAGGGCAGTCATTAAACCATAAAGTTCCAAAATGATTTCCTTTGACTTCATGTCTCACATCCAAAGTGTGCTGATGCAAGTGGTGGGCTCCCACAGCTTTGGGCAGCTCCTCCCCTGTGGCTTTGCAGGGTGCAGCTTCCTTTCTGGCTGCTTTCATGGGCTGGTCTTGAGTGTCTGCACTTTTCCAGACACCTGGTAAAAGCTGTTGGTGGATCTACCATTCTGGGGTCTGGAGGACAGTGGCCTCTTTTCACAGATCCGCTAGGCAGTGCCCCAGTGGGGATTCTGTGTGGGGGCTCCAACCCCACATTTCTTTTTCACACTGTCCTAGCAGAGGTTCTCTATGAGGTCTCCAACCCTTTAGCAAACTTTTGCCTGGACATTTACTTGTTTCCACACATCCTCTGAAATCTAGGCAGAGTTTCCAAGCCTCAGTTCTTGACTTCTGTGCACTTACAGGCTCAACACCACATGGAAGCTGCCACGGCTTGGGGCTTGCACCCTCTGAAGCTATGGTCTGAGCTGTACCTTGGTGTCTTTTAGCCACAACAGTAGCAGCTGGGATGCAAGGCCACCAAATCCCTAGGCTCCACACAGCTGAGGGGTCCTGGGCCCAGCCCACAAAATCATTTTTCCTCCTAGGCCTCTAGGCCTGTGATGGAGGGGGCTCCCATGGAGCTCTCTGACATACCCTGGAGACATTTTCCCCATTGTCTTGGTGACTAACATTTGGCTCCTTGTTACTTACGCAAATTTTATGCAAATTTCTGCAGCAGGCTTGAATTTCTCCCCAGAAAAATGGTTTCTTATTTTTTGTTGCATTGTCAGGTTGCAAATTTTTCAAACTTTTGCTTTCTTTTGAATGTCCTGCTGCTTAGAATTTTTTTTTTCTGCCAGACACCTTATATCATCTCTCTCACGCTCAAAGTTCCACAGATCTCTAGAGCAAGGAAAAAATGCCATCAGTCTCTTTGCATACCAAAAGTGACCTTTACTGCAGTTCCCAACAAGTTCCTCATCTCCATCTGAGACCATCTCAGCCTGGATATTATTGTCCATATCACTATCAGCATTTTGGTCAAAGCCATTCAACAAGTCTTTAGGAAGTTCCAAACTTTTCCACATTTTTCTACCTTCTCCTGAGACCTCCAAACTGTCCCAACCTCTGCTTGTTACCCAGTTTCAAAGTTGCTTCCACATTTTTGGGTATCTTTACAGCAGCACCCCAATCTACTGGCACCAATTTACTGTATTAGTCTGTTCTCACACTGCTAATAAAGTCATACCTGAGACTGGGTAATTTATAAAGGAAAAGAGGTTTAATGAATTCACAATTCCACATGGCTGGGGAGGCCACACAATCATGGCTGAAGGTGAAGGAGGAGCAAAGGCACATCTTACATGGTAGAAGGCAAAAAAGAAGTGCCAGGCAAAAGGGAGAAATCTCCTTATAAAACCACCAGATCTCATGAGAACTCACTCACTGTCATGAGAACAGCAGCATGAGGGTGACCTCCACTGTGATTCAATTACCTCCTACTGGGTCCCTCCCATGGGATATGGAGATTATGGGAACTACAATTCAAGATGAGATTTGGGTGGAGACACAGCCAAACCACATGACTCCATTTCTTCCTTTCCCTAGTTCCTGGGAACCACCACTCTACTTCTGTTTCAATGATTTTGACTACTCTAAGTACCTCACATAAGTGGAGTTGTACAATATGTGCCTTTTTGTGGCTTACTTATGTTACTAAACATTAATGTCCTCAAGGTTCATCCATGTTATTAATATTTTAATAATAATAGAAAATAATTTAATA
The DNA here is from genome assembly GCF_000001405.40 of Homo sapiens. Lineage (NCBI taxonomy): Eukaryota > Metazoa > Chordata > Mammalia > Primates > Hominidae > Homo > Homo sapiens. The sequence continues at coordinate 137,501 of NW_025791759.1, read as the reverse complement.
ATAAAATGAAATAATAATTTCCTTTTAAAGGCTGAATGATATTCCATCATATGCCTATAACACATTTTGTTTATCCATTCATGCACCAATGGACACTTTATTGCTTCAGTGTTTTAGTTATTGTGAATAATGCTGCTGTAAACATGGATGCACATTTGTTTTTTTGGGATTCTACTTTCAATTCTTTTGGTTATATAATTTGAAGTGGAATTGCTGTGTCATATGGTAACTCTATCTTTAAATTTTAAGGAAATTTAATACTGCTTTCTACAACAGGTGCCTCATATCACATTCTCACCAGCTGTGCTAAATTGTCCTATTTCTCTATATCTTTGCCAATATTTGTTATTTTCTGTTTTTTTGTAATAGTCATTCTAATGGTGTGAGAAAGTATCTCATTGAAGTTTTTATTTGCATTTCCATAAAGTTTAGTGATGTTGAGTGTATTAGGCTGTTCTCACATTGCTATAAAGAAATACCTGAGACTCAGTATTTTATAAAGAAAAGAGCATTAATTGGCTTATGGTTCCACAGGCTGTACAGGAAGCATAACACAGACATCTGCTTCTAGGAAGGCCTCAGGACACTTAAAATCATGGAAGAAGACAAAGGGGAAGCAGGTGTCCCATGTGGCAGGAGCAAGAGAGAGAGATACACACACACACACAGAGAGAGAAAGAGAGAGAAGACACCACACACTTTTAAACAATGAGATCTTGTGAGAACTTATTCACTATCACAATGAGAGCACCAAGAAGATGGTACTAAACCATTCATGAGAAATCCACCCATCCATGATCCAATTATTTCCTATCCAGCCCCACCTTCAACATTAGGGATTACAATCCAACATGAGATTTGGCCATTGACAAATATCCAGACTATATCATACCACCCCTGGCCCCTCCCAAATCTCATGTTCTCCTTACATTTCAGAATACAGTCATTGACTGATATAGTTGGCTGTGTACCCACCCAAAATCTCATCTTGAATTGTAATAATCCCCACATATCAAGTGTGGGATGAGGTGGAAATAATTGAATCATGGGATCATGTTCCCTCATACTGTTCTTGTGATAGTGAATGAGTTCTCACAAGATCTGATGGTTTTGTAAGGGACTTCCCACTTTGCTCAGTTCTCATTCTCCTTCCTGCTGGCATGTGAAGAAGAACATGTTTGCTTCCACTTCCACCATAATTGTAAGTTTCCTGAGGCTTCCCCAGCCATGCTGAACTGTGAGTCAATTAAGCCTCTTTTCTTTATAAATTACCCAGTCTCAGGTATGTCTTTATTAGCAGTGTGAGAATAGACTAATGCATTGCTTTACCAATAGCCCCTCAAAGTCTTAACCCATTTCAGCATTAACTCTAAAATCAAAAATTCAAAGTGGCATTTTAGACAAGGCAAGTTCCTTCTACCTATGAGCTTGTAAAATAAAAAATAAGTTAGTTACTTCCAAGGTATAATGGAAGTATAAGCATTAGGTAAATATTCCCGTTCCAAAAGGGAGAAATTAGAAAAAAGAAAGGGGCTACAGGCCCTATGTGTGTTCAAAACCCATCAGCACAGTCATTAAATCTTAAAGCTCCAAAATAATCTTCTTTGACTCTATGTTCCACATCCAGGGTACACTGGTGAATAAGATGGGCTCCTAAGGCGTTGGACAACTTTATCCCTGTGTCTTTGCAAGGTTCAGCCCTCACTGCTGCTCTTATGAGCTGGAGTTGAGCACCTGTGGCTTTTCCAGGTGAAGGGTGTGAGCTGTGAGTGTATCCACCATTCTCGGATTTGGAAGATGATGGCCCTCTTCCCACACCTCCACTAGGCAGTGCCCCAGTGGGAACTCTATGTGGGAGCTTCAACCCCACATTTCCCCTCTGCACTGTTTTGGTAAAGGTTCTCCATGAGGGCTCCCTGCAGCAGATTTCTGCCTGGACACCCAGGCTTTTTCATACATACTGTAAAACCTAGGCAGAGACTCCCAAGCCTCAACTCTTGCACTCTGTAAACCCAAAGGCTTAACACCACATAGAAACTGCCAAGGCTTATGGCTTTCATGCTCCAAAGCAGCAGCTGGGTCTGTATCTGGGGCCCTTTGAGTCAATGCTGAAGACAGTGCAACTGGGATTTGGAGAGCAGTTTCTTGAGGCTGCACAGGGCAGCAGGGCTCTGGGTCTGGTGTATGAAACCATTTTCCCCTTCTAGGCCTCTGAATCTTTCATGGCAGGAGTTGACGTGAAGGTTTCAAAAATCCTTTCAAGTCCTTTATCCCATTGTCTTGGCTATCAGCACTTGGCTTCTTCTTATTTATGAAAATATCTCTAAAATGTCGTTTCTCTAGAGCCTGTTTGAACTCCTTTCCTGAAAAAGCTTTTTATTTCTCTGCCACATGGCTAGGCTGCAAATTTTTCAAATTTTACTCTCTGCTTCCCTTTAAATATAATTTCCAACTTACTTTTTTTGCTCCCACATCTGAGCATAGGCTGTTAGAAGCAGCCATGCTACTTCCTGAATACTTTGCTGCTTAGAAATTTCTTCCACCAAGCCTTTAAGTCTTTGATCCATTTTGAGTTAATTTTTGTATATAATGTTAGGTAAAGGTTCAGCTTCATTGTTTTGTTGTGGAAATTCAGTTTTCCCAGCACTGTTGGAAAGACTGTCCTTTTCCCAATGAATGGTCTTGGCATCTTTATAAAAATTCAACTACATATGCTGGAGCTGTTTTCTGAATTCTTTATTCTCTTCCATTTGCCTGTATGCCTATAATTATGTCAATACCACAGTGCTTTATTATAGCTTTGTAGTATAGTTTCCAAATCAGTATGTGTAAATCCTCCATCTTTGATCTTCTGTTTCAAGATTGTTAGGTTATTTGGGGTTCCTTAATATTTCATATAAATTTTAGAATGAATTTTTGTTACTTTTTCAAAAAATGCCATTGAAATTTTGGTAGGAAATGCATTTAATCTGTAGATGGCATTGGGTATACTGACATCTTAAAAATAGTAAGTCTCCCATTTCGTGAATATAGAATATGTTTCCATTTACTTATGCTGTCCTTAATTTCTTTCAGGAAAATTATGTAGTTTAATTGTACAAGTCTTTCACTTCCATGGTTAAATTAATTTCTAAGTATTTTTTTCTTTTTGAGGTATTGTAAATGAAATTGTTTTTATAATTGTCTTTTCAGATTATTCATTGTTAGTATATAGAAATGTAACTTCTTTTGTGTTTACTTTGTATCCTGCTACTTTGCAGAATTTATTTAATAGTTCTGACAGCTTTCAGTGGAATCTACAGTGTTTTATACATATACAATTATATAGTCTGTGAATAGAGATAATTTTACTTCTCTCTTTCCAATTTGGATGCATTGTGTTTCTGTTTGTTGCTTAATTTCTCTGACTAGGGCTTCTAGTACTATGTTAAATTGATATGTCAAAAGTGGGTATTCTTGCATTGTTTCTGATCTTAGAGAAAAAGTTTTCACTCTTTTACCATTGATAATGTTTACAGTGGATTTTTTACGTACAAATTTTATTAAGTTGAGATAGTTTCCTTCTGTTAATAGTTTGTTAAGTTTTTATTATGCAAGAGTGTTGAATTTTACCAAATGCTTTTTCTTCATCAATTGAGGTGTTTGTGTTTCCTTCCATTCATTTGTTAATGTGTTATATTATATTGATCAATTTTTACGTATTAAACCATTTATACATTCCAGAAACAAATCTCACATGGTCATATTGTATAATCTTTATAACATGGTGCTGATTTCAGTCTGTAATCACTTTATTGAGGATTTTTGCATCAATGTTAATAAAGGATATTGGTTTGTAGTTTTCTTTTATTCTGCTGTCTTTGTCTGGCTTTGGTATCAGGGTAAAATTGGACTTAGAGAAGGAGGTAGGAAGAGTTTTCTCCTTTTCAAATTCTTGAAAAAGTTTGAGAAGAATTTGTTTTAGTTCTTCTTTAAAAAGTTACCAATGTAGTGAAGGCCTCAAGTCCAGAGCTTTTCTGTGTTAGTTGATCTTTGATTACTGCTTCAATATCCTTACTTTAATAAGATTTTCTGTTTCCTTTTAATTTAATTGTGATAGATTTTGTGTTCACAAACCATTTCATTTAAGTTATCCAATTTGTTGATGTACAATTGTTTATAGTACCTCTAATCCTTTTTATTTCTATAGAATGAGTAGTAATGTCTCCACTTTCGTTTGATTTTTAGTAACTTGAGTCTTCTTCCTTTTTTCTTAGTCCATCTAGCTAAAGGTGTGTCAATTTTGTTAAATTTCCAAAAAGCCAACTTTTAATTTTATTGATTTTCTCTATTGTTTTTCTATTGTTTGTTTCACTGATCTCTGTTCTAATCTTTATTATTTTCTTCCTCTGCTCACTTGGAGTTTTGTTTGTTTTTCTTTTTCTAGTTCCTTAAGTTGTAAAGTTAGATTGTTGATTGAGATTTTTCTTGTTTTTTAATGTGTTTATAGGTAGAAGTTTTCTCCTTAACACTGCTTTAGCTCCATTCCATAAACTTTGGTATGTTTTGTTTCCATTTTCAATTGTTGCTAAGTAATTTCAAATTTTCTTTGCTATTTCTTCTTTAATCCATTGATTGTTTAAGAGCACGTTTTTTAATATCCACAAATTTATGCACTTTCCAATTTTACTTTTGTTATTGATATCTAATTTCATCCTGTTTTGGGCAGAGCAGATACATTGTATGATATCTATATTTTTAAATCTACTGAGACTTAGTTTGTGTTCTAATCTGGAAAATGTCCCACTTGCACTTGAGAATAATGTGTATGCTGTTATGGTTGAGTACAGTGTTACATAAATGTCTGATAGATCTAGTTGGTTCATTGTGCTGTTCAAGTATTCTATTTTCTGACTTATCTTTTGTCTGGTTTTTCTATCTATTTTTGACAGTGGGATAGTGAAGTCTCCAACTATTATTGTAGAACTCCCTATTTCTCCCTTCAATTCCATCAGCTTTTCATACATAAATATTTATATATATTAGGTGCTTAGATGTCATTAGGTGCTTAAATGTTTATAATTGTTACATCTTCTTGTTGCGTTAAATCTTTTGTTAATATATAATGTCCTTCTTTGTCTCTCGTAATTTTTTTTTTTACTTAGAGTCTATTTCATCTGAAATTAGTACAACCATATTTGCTCTCTTCTGGTTACTATTTGCATAAAATATTTTTTCTCTCATTTTATTTTTAATGTATATTTGCCTTTGGATCTAAAGAGAGTGTTTTGTAGACAGCATACAATTGGAGCATATTTTCTTAATCCATTCTACCAATCTGATCTTTTGATTAGGAAGTTTAATTCATTTACATTTAAAGTAATTGCTGATAAAGAGGAACTTACTCCTGTCATTTCTTATTTGTTTACTATATGCCTTATAGGCTTTTTGTTCCTCATTTCCTGCACTGCAGTCTTCTTTTGTGTTTAGATAATTTTTTATAGTGAAATGATTAAACTCTTTTCTCATTTATTTGTGTATATATTCTATACTACAGGCATAATTTATTTTACTGCACTTTGCTTTATGGCACTTCACAGATATTGTGTTTTTTATAAATTGAAAGTTTGTGAATCTTGTATTGAGCAAGGCTATTAGCACCATCTTTTTCAACAGTGTGTGCTCACTTCATGTCTCTGTATCACATTTGGGTAATTCTGACAATATTTTAAACTTTTTCATTATTATTATATCTGCTATGGTGATCTTTGATAAGTGATCTTTGATGTTACTATTATAATTGTTTTGTTTGAACCTATATAAGACAGCAAACTTAATTGATAAATGTTGTGTGTGTTCTGACTGCTCCACTGACTGGCCATTTTCCCATCTTTCTGCTTCTCCTCAGGCTTCCCTATTCACTAAGACATAACAATATTGAAAATTGATGAATTAGTAACCCTACAGTCAACTTTACGTGTTTAAGTGAAAGAGTTGAGTGTGTTTCACTTTAAATCAAAATCTAGAAATAATTAAGCTTAGTGAGGAAGCCTGGTCAAAAGCTGAGATAGGCCAAAATCTAGGCCTCTTGTGCCAAATGGTTAGCCAAGATGTGCATGCAAAGAAAAAAATTCTTGAGGGAAATTAAATTTGCTACATCAGTTAACACACAAATAAGAAAGTGAAAATGCCTTATTACCGATATGAAGAAACTTTTAGAAGTCAGTATAGGAGAGCAAACCAGTCACAACATTCCTTTAAGCTACAGCCTAATTAAGAGCAAGACCCTAAGTCTGTTTAATTCTATGAAGGCTAAGAGAGGTGAAGAGACTGCAGAAGAAGATATTAAGCTAGCAGAATTTCGTTTATAAAATTTAAGGAAATAAATTGTCTCCATAACATAAAAGTTCACGGTAATTCAGGAGTGCTGATGCAAAAATTAGAGCAAATGATCCAGAAAATATAGCTAAGATAATTGATGAAGATGGCTACATTAAACAACATATTTTAAAAATAGCCTTCCATTGGAAGACAGTGCTGTCTAGGACTTCCATAGCTACAGAGGAGAAGCCAATGCTTGGCTTCAAAGCTTCAAGGGACAACTGACTCTCTTGCTAGGGGATGAATGCAGCTGTTGACTTTAAGTTGAAGCCAATGGTTATTTACCACTTTGAAAATTCTAACACCCTTAAGAATTATGCTAAATCTACTCTGCCTATGCTCTATAAATGGAAGAACAAAGCCTGAATTACAACACATCTGTTTAAACCATGGTTTGCTGAATATGGTAAGTCTGTCTTAAGATCTACTGCTCAGGAAAAAAAAAAAGATATCTTTCAAAATATTGACAATGCACCTAGTCACCCAAGAGTTCTGGTGTAGTCATGGTAGGAGAATAATGTTTTCATGCCTGTTAACACAATATTCATTCTTCAGCCCATCTATCAAGAAGTGATTTTGACTTTCAAGCTTTATTATTCAAAAATACATTTCATAAGGTAATAGCTGCCATAGATAATGATTCCTCTGATGGATCTGGGTGAGGCAAATTGAAAACCTTCTGAAAAGAAATTGCCATTCTATATGTCATTATGAACATTCATTATTTATGAGAAAAGGTCACAATATTAGCATTAACAGGAGTTTAGAGGAAGCTTATTTCAATTCTCATGGTGTAGATGTGGTGGAAATAGGAAGAAAACTAGAATTAGAAGTGGAGTTCGAATATATAACTGAATTGCTGCCTTCTCATAATCAAACTTTAACAAATGAGGAGTTGCTTCTTATGGATAAGCAAATAAAGTAGTTTCTTGAGATAGAATCTCCTCCTAGTGAAGAGGTTGTGAACATTATTAAAACAACAACAAATGATTTAAAATATTCCCTAAAACTTAGTTGTTAAACAAATGGCAGGGTTTGAGAGAATTAACTTCCAATTTGAAAGACATTCTATTGTAGGTCAAGTGATATCAAACAGCATTGCCTGCTACAGAGAAATCTTTTGTGAGTCAATTAAGCCTGGACGAGGTGATTCACACCTGTAATCCCAGCACTTTGGGAGGTGGAGGCAGGAAGATAGCTTATAGCCAGAAGTTCAAGACCAGCCAGGGCGATGTAATGAGACCCCATTTCTACAAATAAATAAATAAAATTGGCCAGGTGTGGTGTCTCACACCAGTAGTCCCAGTTTTTTAAGAGGCTGAGGTGGGAGGATCTCTTGAGCTCAGAACTTTAAAGCTATAGTGATCTATGATCACAGCACTGTACTCCAGCTTGGATGACAGAGCAAGACCTTGTCTCTAAAAAAAAATCAATTGATGTGGTAATCTTTATTGTTGTCTCATTTTAATAAATTGGTACAGCAAACCCAATCTTCAGCAACCACCACTCTGCTCAGTAACAGCCATCAACATTGAGGCAAAATGTTCTACTAGCACAAAGATTCGCTGAAGTTTCAGATGATTGTTAGCATTTTTTAAAACAGTAATGTATTTTAAAATTGAAGTCTATACATTGTCTTTAAGACATAATCCTATTACACACTTAATAAACTACAGTATAGTTTAACATAACTTTTATATTCATTGAGAAGCCAAAAATTTGTGTGACTCACTTTATTGTGATATTTGCTTTACTGCAGTGGTCTGAAATCAAACCCACAATATCTCTGAGATACGTGGCTACCATGGGGATTACATTTAATGCCCTAAAGTTATAACACTCTAATTTGAATCTATGTCAGCTTAATTTCAATAACATACAAATCTCTGCTCCTTTAACAGTTCCATTTTCAAATCTTTTGTCTGTTGATGTCATGAAATTTTATCTTTATACACTGTGTATCCAAAACAATAAATTAATAATCATTTAAAATGCATTAGTCTCTTAAATTATGTGGAAAACAAATTGCAAAGTTATAAACCAAAGATACAATAATACTAACTTTCAGATAAATATTTTTTAATGTATTGTTTAGTTAAGTCATGTACATAGCAAAAAGCAGAGTTACAAACCATTGTTAAAATAATAGTTTTTATAATTGTCCATGTATTTACCTTTATTGAGATTTTTAATTATTTTGCTTTGAGTGACTATCTAGTTTCCTTTCATTTTACTCTATAGGACTACCTTGAGCATTTCTCACAGGTTAGTCTAGTGGCAACCACCTCTCTCAGCTTTTGATACTTTGGGTATCTTTGACAAAGCAAACAAAAACATAAAGTGGGGAAAGGACACCCTACTCAACAACTGGTGCTGGGATAATTGGCAAGCACCATGTAGAAGAATGAAACTGGATCCTCATCTCTCACTTTACAAAAAAATCAGCTCAAGATGGATAAAAGACTTAAATTTAAGACCTGAAACCATAAAGATTCTAGAAGATAACATCACAAAAACCCTTCTAGACATTTACTTAGACAAAGACTTCATGACCAAGATCTCCAAAGCAAATTCAACAAAAACAAAGATAAATAGATGGGACTTAATTAAACTGAAAAGCTTCTACACAGCAAAAGAAATAATAAGCAGAGTTAAAAGGCAACCCACAGAGTGGGAGAAAATTTTGACAATGTATACATTAGCCAAAGGGCTAATATCCAGAATCTACAAAGAACTCAAACAAATCATCAAGAATAAAAGAAACAATCCCAACAAAAAGTGTGCTAAGGACATAAACAGACATTTCTCAAAACAAGATATACAAATGGAAAATAAGCATATGAAAAAATGCTCAACATCACTAATTATCAGGGAAATGCAAATCAAAACCACAATGCAATACCACTTCACTCCTGCAATAATGGCCATAATCAAAAATTCAAAAAATAATAGATGTTGACATGGAAGCGATGAAAAGGTAACACTTCTACACTGTGGGTGGGAATGTAAACTAGTACTACCACTATGGAAAACTGTGTGGAGATTCCTTAAAAAACTAAAAGTACATTTTTCATTTGATTCAGCAATCTTACTACTAGGTATTTACCCAGAGGAAAAGAAGTCATTATACAGAAAAGATACTTGCACACACATGTTTATAGTGGCATAATTTGCAATTGCAAAAATATGGAACCAGCCCCAATGCCATCAATCAACAAGTGAATAAAGAAAATGTGGTAAACTATATTACACATATATATATATTTTATGTATACACACACACACACACACACACACACACACCATGGAATACTGCTCAGCCATAAAAAGGAACAAAATAGTTGCATTTGCAGCAACCGCGATGGAATTGGAGACTATTTTTCTAAGTGAAGAAACTCAGGAATGGAAAACTAAACATCGTATGTTGTCACTCATATGTGGGAGCTAAGCTGTGAGGATGCAAAGGCATAAGAATGATAAATTGGACTTTGGGGACTCAGAGGAGAGAGTGGGAGGTGGTGAGGTATAAAAGACCACCCACCGGGTACAGTGTACACTGCTCAGGTGATGGGTGCACCAAAACATCATAAATCACCACTAAATAACATATTCATGTAACCAAACACACCTGTCCCCTCAAAATGTACTGAAATAAAAAATAAAAAGTTTTAAACATTTTTTATTTTACTTTTGAAGGAAAGTTTCCCTGGATATAGAATTCTGTGTTGATGTTCTTTTCATTTAGCCCTTTGAATATATTGGCCCACTACCTTCTGACCTCCAAAGTTTCTAATGAAAAGTCTGATGACAATGTCATTGAGGATAGTTTGTATGTGACAGTAGCTTTTTTCGTGCTGCTTTAAAGATAGTCTTGTCTTTGGCTTTTGAAAGTTTGATTATAATGTGTATTGGTATGAGTCTATACTTTTTTAAGCTTCTTGGATATTTATATTAACATCTTTCACCAAATTTGGAAAGTTTTCCATCATTATTTCTGAGATAGTCCCCCAACCCCTTTATCCATTTTCCTTCTGGAACTCCCAGCATGTATACTGGTCCACTTAATGGTGTTTCATAGGACTCTGAGGCCCTGTTTACCGTTCTTCAATTTTTTTTTCCAGACTCAGTGATTTTCATTGTCCTATCTTCAAGTTGCTGATTCTTTCTTTTGCCTGCTCAAATCTTTTACTTCCTCAAATGGATTTTCATTTTACTTATTGTAATTTTCAACTCTAATATTTCTTTTTCCTTTTAGGTTTTCTCTTAATATTTCTAATTTTTCATATGGCATTTTTTGACTTTCCCTATATCTTTCTTTAGCTCTTTGAGCATGTTTAAGACAATTGTTTTAAAGGTTTTGTCTAGTAGACCTGCCATTATGTCTTTTTCAGAGAAAGTTTCCATTATTTTTTTTCCTTTGAATGGGACATACTTTCCTGTTTTTTTATGCCTTTTCATTGTTTATTGATTATTGGACATGAATCTAATAATGTGGTAACTCTAGAAATTAGACTATTTTCTTTCCCAGAGTTTGCTGTTTTTTGTTATTTTTATTATTGTTGTTGTTATTGTAAGCTTTGTCCCAAAGATCAGCCTGGGGTATAAACTTAAGGTCTTCTGAAGTCTTTTCTGAGCCTGCACCCTTCCCTGAGCATGGATGATTACTTTCTAATTTTCCCTGTAAATGCAGTTGGTTTTGAATGCCCTAGTCTTTAATGTCTGACTCTCCAAAGGAAAAACAAAGAAAAATGAAAGAGAAGGAGAGGTGCTGACCCTTTAAATCCCCTGGAAGTCACATCAGCTGAAGGAGGAGCTTGCAATAACACAGGGGAGATGGAACAACTCTTACTTCTTTGTTTGTATGTCTATGATCAGAAGTAACAATCAGTGATCAGAGCACAGATCCCTGATATTTGCAAGACAGGGTAACCCTGGCTCCTGCAAGCTGTGTGCAGGTTGCTCCCGGCACAGGTGCAAGGTTGTCTTCCAGGTGGCTGGTTGTGGGCAGGTGGGTAGCTGCTACTGTCCTTAAAGCTGAAATTGACTAGAATTAACTATAGTTCATACCTTCCTCTGGATGTTGCAAGCCTTTAATAGACGCCATAGTTCCCAAATATTTACATCAGACAGATTCTGCCAGCATAGTTGTTTTCTAGGTGGGAAAACACTTTCCTAGTACTCCCTACTCAGCCATCTTCCCCTCACACTGTCTCTGCTAACGTATTTTTTTAATTTGTAAAATTTCTTTCTGCGTCTCAGAACTTGGCTTTTGTATAATATTCTGCTTTATTTCACCATTATCTTGTCTTATCCTTTTAAAAATGTTAAATACTTATCTTTCAAAAGACTTTATACCATGCACTATAGCTTATTCTCCCACGTTTCTTTGTTATTTATTTATTACATTGATTTTTTTAAGTTAATGGCTTTCTTCAAATTGTGGTGATCCTTTCAAGTCCATTAATAACTAAGAGTGATGTACTAACAAATTGTTAGAAAGCTCTGTGTGCATGTAGATGTGTGTGTGTGGTGGGGTGGGATATGCAGACTGCTGGGCTTTATTTACTAGCGTGATAAAACCAAGCAATGTGATGAAGCTAGTTTTATTAGGGTAAGGTTACTTTTCCAAAATAGGACTTCAAAGTGTCTAGATTTGTAAGTCTTTGCCCTTGAAATGCTAATTTCCACAGGGCAAAATTCTGTTGTTTTTTTTTTAGTCTGCAAATTTATTTTTATTTTTTATTCTTTTTTTTTCACACAACACACAGATTGAGAATTTAATGTTTACCATGTTGCTAGTGACATTGCTTTTTTGGGATGATGTATTCTGAGTTTTTTTTTTCTTTTCTGAGACAGAGTCTCCCTTTGTTGCTCAGGCTGGAGTGCAGTGGCACCATCTAGGCTCACTGCAACCTCTGCCTCCCCAGTTCAAGAGATTCTCCCATCTCAGCCTCCCTAGTAGCTGGGACTACAGGCACGTGCCACCATGCCCAGCTAATTTTTGTATTTTTAGTAGAGACGGGGTTTCACCATGTTGGCCAGGCTGATCTTGAACTCCTGACCTCAGGTGATCCACCTGCCTCAGCCTCTCAAAGTGCTGGGATTACAAATGTAAGCCACTGTGCCTGGCTGTGTTCTGAGTTTTATTTATTTTTTATTTTTATTTTTTGTAGTTTTTTTTTTAATACTTTAAGTTCTAAGGCACATGTGCACAATGTGCAGGTTTGTTACATATGTATACATGTGCCATGTTGGTGTGCTGCATCCATTAACTCATCATTTACCTTAGGTATATCTCCTAATGTTATCTCTCCCCCGTCCCCACACCCCCACAACAGGCCCCGGTGTGTGATGTTCCCCTTCCTGTGTCCACGTGTTCTTATTGTTCAGTTCCCACCTAAGAGTGAGAACATGCAGTGTTTGGTTTTTTGTCCTTGCAATAGTTTGCTGAGAATGATGGTTTCCAGTTTCATCCATGTCCCTAACAAAGGACATGAACTCATCCTTTTTTATGGCTGCATAGTATTCCATGGTGTATATGTGCCACATTTTCTTAATCCAGTCTATCACTGATGGACATTTGGGTTGGTTTCCACAGGGCAAAATTCTTCACTTTCCTAATTGATAGCTATAACCCTTATTGTCAGTATCTTGTGAGATTTGCTGGTGTTCTTTTACCTCTCCTCCACCTTTTTAAAAATTATTATTCCATAGCACCCTCTGCTTCACTTCATCTCTGCAAGTCTTTCCGGAAAGTAACTCTCCAGCCTTCTGCTGAGGTTGGGGTGAGGTTCTGATTGTGCGACGTGTCTTAAAAACTTTCAAGCAACTCTGGTTTGTTATGCCAATTGCACAGTCTTATGTTCAGAGATACTACTTTCGGCTTTTGAATACTTCTGGCATTCTGGGTGATAAATTGGCATTTTTGTTGTTTTCTCTGCCTCAGGCTTTAATCAGCATTCTCCTATGTGCTGAGTCAATAATGGTTTATTAATGGGCTTTCCAGATTCCAAAATTTTGTTGAGCTCCATTTGCTTTCATCTTCTATTCTCTTTTGCTATGGAAGTGAGTCTATCTTCTTTCTTAACTCAAGTTTAACAGGGTTCTTAAGAAAAAGAAGCAAATAATGGGCATTTAACATCTGTATTTAATCAGAATTCTCTCTACCTTTAAATTATATTGAACATAATTCCTATAATTTTGTTTGTTCTAAATAATGGTATTATCCAGTATGTGTAGCTTTATGATGGATGAGAGATTTGAGTTTACTTTTCTTATAACAAATACTTTTATAAAAAATAAAATAATAATACTTTTTAGCTCAATACTTCTAGTATCTAGTTGTTTTCTCCTGCATTTTTGTCCTGTTCTTTATCCCCTACATCTTTGTTATTGCCAAACTCTTGTGCTCTGCCATGCCCCTCTTTCCAAGCATAGTTCTCAACTGGAAACCACCAACACTGTCTATTTCTGCTTGTCTGGGAGCAAGATGTGATGGGGAGGACTACTTTCTCTGGGCTAATATCCCCTGTTAATTTCCCCTGGAGTCCTAAATTATTTTTTATTTTTCTTCACCTCAGGATATGAAGAAACTTTTGTGTTGGCCTCAACTTTTGTTACTGGACTCCACTTTTAACTCTCATATACTTCTGAGATGGCTCATCAATCTAACTGCATTGTTTTGAGTCTTCATTTCTTACCTCATAGTTGCTGGTTCATTAGGAATTCCGTTTTTGTTTTTAAGCACTGGCCAAAATACTACTTAAATCTTTCCTATCACTTCTAGGGTTTGGTAGGGGCAGGGTTGGGGAGTACAGAGAGAAGAAATGATATCTGTACTCAGTGTGCCATAGTAAACATCCAAAGCCCAGAGTTTCCATTTTCTTCCTTACAGTTGTCTGAATTTTTTCACAGAGAATGTACGGCTTTTGAATCAGAAAAATACTGATTAATATACCATCATTTCAGAATAAAAGAATAAAAAGAAGAGGAGGCCTACTTCTCAGATGCTTGCCTACCATTTCAGCCAACTCAGTGAATCACTCACTTGGAATATTCTCTTACGGCGTCCATATTCTTTGTTTTCCTTGAATGTAGTGGGTCATGCTAGGGATACATCAGTGTAATTTGCTTTTGGTATTTAGAAAAAAATCTGCTATTTGTTTGCTATATTGGCTTCACCCTTTAAACTCAATGGCTGAAAACCTTCTTCCGTGGCATTTTTTGGGCATCTCTAAATATTTAGATGAAAAAATTATCACGTGATACCATAGGTTATTAGCTCTAATCAGTCTAACAGCATCAGTAATCTGAATAAAGAGAGTCATTTGGATTTTTAAAAATTTGAACATGCATTGTCAAATATAGTTAGTCATTCTCTCACTTAGAGTTAGCTTTATATGCTTTATTTGTTGAAATTTTATCAGTCAATTAAAATATACATTATATTTATTATTGAAAGAGCAAAATGCAATAATAAATTTATGATAATTGTGAGAGTTGTTAATTTTCTGGACAAACTTAAGAGTTTTATGTAGTAAAATAAATGGGAAAAGAAATGACTACTTCACTTAAATATAAGAGATAGTGTGTTGGTTATTAGATAGCTTTAGAAAGCATATTATATCCTTGTAGACTCAATAAATATTTATAAAATTAAAATTGTTTGGCAATATTGAACTAGTTTTAAACACTGTATTAATTTTTAGCTTCTTAAATCCACTTAAGCCATGAATCTTTACAACTTTTCCAGATGAATTTACACAGGATTCTAATTTTGCCACCAAAATCATAAAAGATAATATCCAAGATAAATTATTTTTAATCCATATTTACAAAAAAAAGAAGAAAAAAAGCTACAGAAAAATAAGCTATTTCCCCCCAAGATATTTTGCTGTGCCACCAATCTCAGTTTCTCAGTTGAAAAGTGAACATGTACCTGGTATCATGAATATGTGTTTTAATGACTGTTAGAAGACTCTAGAATCTGACAATGAAGACTAAATGTTCTTCCTCAAATAATTCAAATGTTTAAACTCAATTACTAAATGTTTAATAATTAAATTTCATTGTTTTAAAATAAGATTTCAATTTTATTTTAGTAACACAGGAAAACAGTCTGCTGATATTGGGCATCAACTCTGACTTCAGCTGAACACAGATTTTTAACTCTCACTTATTGAGCATTTGGTCAAAATGTATATTAGATGCACTTCTATTCATTAACATTATTACAAAAATAAAAAGAATTGAACAGAATAGACTTTAATGAGAAACATCAGAATGCATTGCATGCTGTAAGGCTAAGTACTGTTTTGTGAATGTAGCATTTTAGTTTGTATATGTGTGTATAACACACATACTGGGTTATGTGATAACATGCATTTTTGTATTGGGGGCCATGGATCATGATAAAGAGATTAACATTCACTGATCTAGTAGGAAAGAAAAAAGATGCTCAATTTGGAGCAGGAGGATAGGCATTAAATTCTGGAATTGCTAACAAAATATAATAATGAAAAGTTTTGGAAATGTTATTTTGTAAGGAACCAAAATAATATGACCTGCAGAGTTAATGAAAAATGCGATAGCAATTAGAACTTAAAGGTATGTGGGAGGAAGGTAAGAGTCAAAAATTAATTAATAAAATAATATAAAATGGCCAAGAAAAATCAGAGAGGCAAACATATATGGACTATGTTAGCTAATAACAGTGGCGATAATGATAATCATACATAATATTTCTTAACACTTTTTGCGTTATCACAGCAGTTTCTACTGTGGTTATTCTAAAGTGGTTGATTCTTACAAGAACCTGACAGAAAAAAGCAGAGTAAAGATTAGTAAATCCATTTTGCAGATAAGAAAAGATTCACTTTATGGGGAGTGTAGCTGTTTTACTCTAACAAGAATAAAGAATATCTGACCCTGCTTCATAATATTTTTATACTTATTATTTAATGTGTTTGACAACAAACTTTGAATATAAGTTTTACAGGTGAGAAAACTGAGGCTCAAATAAATTAAATAGTTCATTCAAATATATATGGTTTATAAAAAATAGAGCCAGGCCTGAAAATAGAGTATTTTTCTTCAAATGTTTATGTTCTTTCTGCTTCATTCTGCTGCTCTCTCAAAACTTCTGCCTAATATTTTAAGTAGCTAAGTTTGCAAATATAGATTATCTATTACTGAGAAGGCTGACGGTATAGGGCAGCATTTTTGAGGCTACAATTTGAAATAAAAATAAGATATTTTTATTTACTGAGTAAAAGTAAAAGCGACCACTGGCAATTACAGGGTAACTTCATTTTGGATTCTCTTGGATTTCACCATAAATTTCCTCAAAAATGTAGTTGAATCTTTGTAAGACTAAACCATAACGGACTATTTGATAAATTAAGATATTTGAACATAGCCCTAACTTTTGAAATTAACATAAAGGAGAATGTGTCCTATGAAAAACTCATCACTTGGTACAAGTGAGACACTAAACAGCAGGTGTAACTGTCCATCTAGGTAAGACTTCACCCAGTTACAACATCACACACTACCCATTTCATGCTTTCATCCGTTAAGACATCATGGGAAATGTTCATTGTGGTCATTTATATCAATATGTGTTTGGAGGTTGTGATGTGAAGGCGTGGAAGGAGTGCTTTTGTTTCTTTGTGGGTATCTCATCAGAGGGTTCATAAAAATAGAGGTGTTCAGGTTATTTCAAAGTGAACCAGAGAACACTCTGATGAGTGGGCAGTGAGGGCATCAGTAAGAGATTTTCATTACCAACAAGCTGTATTAAGGCATAAGAATAAAATGGGAAACGATCAGTCACTAGGTATTGTTGGATTGTGCGCTATGTGGATGTGGACGACAGACTGTAGGGAAAGGAGTTGCTGGAAGTGGAGATGACTGGTGAAGCATGGTGTATTAGTTCACATCCTAGAGGATTTTAAATGGTAGGATTGATGGTTTGATGAGTCTTTTTCTTTTGTTGAATTACTGAGTTACTAGATGGCTACATTTTCCTTACCCGTTTAATCCTCCCAATCCTCTCATTCCATTAATCCATGCTCTAGATTCCCTGTTTGACTCTCATCCACTAGTTGCTTCTTTCTGTTCTGCAAGGATTTCTAAAGGCAAATTTTAATTTCTTTACCCTGGGTTTAGACACTCACATACAATATCACCAACAACCTTTGTATATTCTCATAAAATAAATGCCAATATTATTACTTGGTGCTACCTCTTTTACTCTATCACCAAGGGGTTTTAGTTACTTTCCAAAAATATTTCTAAAACAGGATCCTGAAAACTTAGATATCCATTTTCTCACATGGTCAATTTGGAACTTATATAAAAAAGACCTAGATTTCAAGGGCTGCTGAATTTTATAGATTGCTATTATCTCTGATACTCATTTTATTTATAGTGTCTAGTCGATTTAAAAAATCTTAAATTTCCCATAAAGAAATTAATTCAATTAGGTGTTAAATCTACTTAGCGCTAAATGGGTAAGGGGAAACACCACATCCAAAAAACAGTGTTATAGAATATATTTAAAACTTGAACCGGCAAGGCACGCTGGCTCACGCCTGTAATCCCAGCACTTTGGGAGGCCAAGGCGGGCGGATCACGAGGTCAGGAGATCCAGACCATCCTGGCTAATACGGTGAAACCCTGTCTCTAATAAAAATAAAAAAAATTAGCCAGGCATGGTGGCAGGCACCTGTAGTCCCAGCTACTTGGGAGGCCAAGGCAGGAGAATAGCGTGAACCCGGGAGGCAGAGCTTGCAGTGAGCCGAGATCACACCACTGCACTTCAACCTGGGTGACAGAGCAAGACTCTGTCTCAAAAAAAAAAAAAAAAAAAAAAAAAAACTTGAACCTTGCCCTAGAGCAGCCTCCCCTCATTAACTCTGTCTCCTCTCCTGATTTCATTCTGTCCCAGGCTGCCCACACAACGCTTCTACTTTCCAACACCACTGAGTTCTTTCTTCTGCATTTGTAACCTATAAAATCCCTGTTCTCTTATGAGATGGAGGCCCGCTGTGCTTTGGAGAACCTTCCCCCTTCTCAAGTGGCTGAATCCTTTTGTTTTCTCTTCCTCTCGCCCAACCACTGCTTGATAGGCTTGAAATTTTTAACTCTATTGACCATGCACACTGTTCCACTGTTTCTTCTCTAGAAAATCTTCTAAGACACTATTTGAAATGGGCCTATTCTCTTAGGAGAATTTTTGACCTATCACTCTGCACAGAGCATCTTTGACCTCTTTGTTCCTCAGAGTGTACACCACAGGGTTCAGTAACGGGGTAATGACAGTGTAGGTCACTGAGATCAGCTGATCCTGATCTCTGTGTTCTCTGACTTGGAATTGAAGTAAGCAATGGAGGCACAGCCATAGTGGACAATAACCACAGTAATATGAGAAGCACAGGTGGCAAAGGCCTTTTTCCTGCCCTCGGCAGAGGCAATCTTGAGGATGGTAGAAATGATGAGGATGTAGGAGATGAAAACCAAGCCCATGGGAATGAGGATCACCAGCACACTGATGATCATAGTCAGGATTTCATTGACTGTGGTGTCAATGCAGGAGGGCTTCATTACAGGTCGGATGTCACAGAAGAAGTGAGGCACCTTTGGAATACAGAAAGGCAGCCTGAATACAGCTGACACCTGTGTCATTGCTACAATTAGGCCAATGCTGCAGGCCCCTCACACCAGCTGCATACACACTCTCTTGCTCATGACGACTGAGTACCTCAAGGGGTTGCAGATGGTCACATAGCGGTCATACCCCATTGCTGTGAGCAGGAAGCAGTTGTTGATAGCCAAAGTAATGAAGAAAAACATCTGAGTGGCACAACCTGCCAAGGAAATGGGCTGACTCAGGCCTATGAGGTTAAACAGCATCCTTGGTATAATGACAAGGGTGTAGACAGTCTCTGAACCTGACAGCATGCTGACGAAGAAGTACATGGGGGTGTGGAGGTGACGATCAATACTAATGATACTCACAATGATAACATTGCCTGCCAGGGAGAATATGTACAACGTAAGAAACACAACAAAGAGGGTGAGCTTGTGCTCACGGAAGCTGGAGAAACCTTGAAAAATAAACACATTCATCAAAGAGTGATTCTCTTTCTTCATTAAATCACACATGATATCTGAGAAAGAAAAAAATAATGTAAGGAACCTAGATGGATGATTTCTGTCAAATAATAGGCTGGGAAAATTCCTGTGATTAATACACCTTAGGTCTCTGCTTTTTTACATTCATACTTATTTCTTTTAGGAGTAGAGAGTGGAGAAACGTTCTTTCCTCATTCAGAAGAAAGTACATGGCTTTTAAAGTCAAATGTTGTAAACTAATTTCCTACTTCTTGCATATGCTAACTTATCTTGGGCAAGGACTTATAATTTATAAGACCAGTTTCCTCACCTTTATGGATGTAGTGGTGATAACATCATAGAATTGTTGATGGAAAAATTGTATACTAATTATAATACTCATATTTGAATTTTAAAAACAACATTGAATAAATGCGAGTTCAGTGGTGTCATGCAGAACTCCAGGCTTCATAGCTACCTGATAATTTTTGAGCTTCTAAAGTTTGAATAAAGCCTGTGTTACTGTAATTTCCACACTGCATTTTCATTCCATTATTTTGACTCTGATGATATTGCTCCTCTCAACTCTGTTCTACACTCCTCTTCCCTAGACACCACTCATTTTTCAAAGACAAATAAAACCCATGTCCTTTAGAAAATCTTTTTTCCTCATTGGAACCCAGGAGGTGGAGATAGCAGTGAGCCAAGTTCGCACCACTGCACTCAAGCCTGGGCAACAGAGCAAGACTCCATCTCAAAAAAAAAAAAATCTTTTTCTCCTTACTCTCTCTCTCTCTCTGGGGCCTATATGTCTCATGTCTCTGCACATGTAGGTGGCATAGAACTGTTCAGTGTTTTTTTATTTTTATATTGTAAGCCCCTTACAGTGAAATTGTGATTACAAAATATTTTTGCATACATTATTTAATCTTATTACCATCCAACAGAGCAAGGAGGACAAAGATGAACTGTCTCTCTCTAGATGCAAAAACTGAAGAACAGCTCTGGTTAGGCAATTATTTTTGGACAGACAGGGGTCAAAGGACTAAACCAAGACTAGAATTCATATCTTTTGACCCTATGTCCATTGTTTCTTCCACTACACAAAACTGCATTATAAAACTGTCCCCTCTATAGCTGAACAGGGACCATGTATTCCCTCTTTTTATGACTCCAGGTTGGCCACTCCACTATGGGGGACAAATATCTGCTGGTAGAATCATTACGAGTCATTGCTCCTTCACACAAATTGTCCATTAGAAAGTAGAATACCAGAGCATTACAATGATATTTTCTTCAAAGAGAAGGCATAAATGTTTTTAATCTTTGACTTTTTATGATGTCTAGGTCTGTGATAGCAACAAACAACTAAATAATTGGGCTAAATTTTAACACTGGAATTATAACACTAGAAGAAAGTATGACATTATTAACAAGTAATTGAAAAATACACTGGTAATAAAACTTTTCTAGTAGCCTTTACCTTATCAGTAATCACTATATAATACATAATAGGTTCATTGTAAAAAAGATAAATTTAGAAATATAATGATGGAATTACTTCAAAAGTACAATTTGTTGGAAGTAAAGCAAATGAATCCACATCACAAAATGATTTACTATTGGGTGAATTTCAAAGGTAAGCTTCTTTAGTGCTTTTAAAATTAAATTCAATTTATCTATTTTTCAGAAATATACCCCTTTTCATAAGAAAATCTACAAAGAGTATTTATAAGAAATTGGTGCATGGCTGTGCTTCAACTCCTCAGTGCATGATATGAAAGAAAATCAGATGAGGTTGCAAGAAATAAATTTTGTGTTAGACATCAGAGACCATTTCTTGACAGGAAAAGTTGTTTGTGATGTGTGCAGCATGGTAAGTAACTGTAAACATTCTTTATGAAGCTTTCTAAACTGTGTCTCTGTGGACCATGGATTGTCTGAAGATAAGAATATAGACAAGAGAGCATGCATAGCTGATAAGTGTCAGAGCCACATTCCTTATTATCATGCTAATCAAGGCACTCTTTAATCCTGAGAAATTTTAGTTCCTTAGGATTAACAGGAGATCCTTGAAAGTAATAAATCAAGGAAACCCAAATATTCATAGACATCAGGATTCTTCCCAGCTTAATATAGTTTGCCCTTTAAAAATGATTTAAAAAAACTTCATGCATGTATTTTATTCCTTATAAGGCTCCCTCTGCTAACCATTGAAGTCTCTTTCCAAATCACTTACTTCTCTTTCTGCAAATCTGTGGCTCAACCGAAAAGTTGAGGTAGAGGTCAGAGATGTGAAACCTTGACCACAAGTATTCACAAATCAAGATCATGAAGAAAAGACATCTGAATGTGGGCCTTCCATCTGCCATAGGACCAGTCTAGGGATGGAGGTCAAAGGAAAGTTACAGGGGGCTCTTTGGATACTGGATATTTCCTCCAGCTTGAGGAGGACCTTTTGATACCAAAGAAAGGCTCTCTGATGAGCAGCTTTCAAGGTTTCAGGGTTTCTCAGTGTCATTCTCTGAGCACTCTTGAGAGTCGCCCTTTGACTAAGAGGAAGCAGACAGCCAGTACCAGGGGACCTCGTTAAGTGTGCGGCACATTTACCAGATGATATGGACTTGTGCTTTGGGAGACTTGAGGCAGTTTTCACAGCAAGTAGAAACAGCAGTGGCTTATTTGTCATGTTTTATTTTTTAAATAAATATTCTATTTTTATGCAGTTGAGCCTTGGAAAACCATGGTTACGAAGCCCAAGCGAGCTTTAGCTAAGCGCACTGTCTTGGATTCCAGGAAACCCTGCAGCTCTTTCTATCGTTAAAAACCTTGTTCAATATTATAAGCTGTGCTTTTTTTTCTGTTCTCTGAACTAAAAAAAACTCAATTTTGGCCAGTTTTTGTCCTGTAGGATTCAGAAAGGGAAGATCAAATCTCATTAGACAATAGAAACCTCTCTAGAAGGCCAGGAGGCCATTTTAGAGCTCCAAAAACATGAACCAGGACTTCATCCCAAGGGACCATCTGGCAAACAGTTAAATACACTGGGTTTCATGAGCCCAATCTGGGGTTATCCTCCCACTGGTTTTCCTGCCACAACCCTTGGCACTTTATTCTATTTTTTTAAAATTTATGTCTATCTCATCACGAATTCTGCCAATTCTCCTCCAAGTTAATTTTTCCGTACTTGGCCAAAAATAAGGTACCTGCATTAATATCTTAATAAACTTGAAAAATGCTCCTCATACTGATTTTTTCATTTGTATTTTATATTTCCTATTTGTCATAACTTAAAAGAAATAATTTTTAGGGACAAAATCTTGCTCTGTTGCCCAGGCTGGAGTGCAGTGGAGCAATCATAGCTCACTGCAGTCTCAACCTCCTGGACTCAAGCTATCCTCCTGTCTTGGCCTTCTGAGTAGCTAGGACTACAGGTGTGTGCCACCATACTCAGCTAATCTAAAAGAAAATTAGAAAGGGGATCTCATTATACCGCACAGTCTGGTCTCAAATTCCTGGCCTCAAGTGATTCTTCTGCCTCAGCCTCTCAAAGCACTGGGGATTACAGGCATGAGACACCACACTCAGCCTGTGGTAACTTTTGGATCGAAAAAATTATAAAATCAAAAACTTTATAGCAAATATAAGAATGTTAATTACATTTGCTTTTATTCCTATTAGTTCACAGACATAAGAAAATATTGGCCAAACTGGAGAAAACTCCAATATTTGTAATTAAATTATCATTGATAAAGTTAACATCCCAACTTTTTTCCTTATTGTTTGCAGCTGAGTAGTACCTTCGTATGCATTACAACCTGCACTGTCTTGGGGGTCGAATTATGATTGGATCATTCATTTTTGTGCCATTCTGTTGATTAAACATGTACTTTTCTTTATCTGCTCTAGTGAGAGAGGGGCCAAACTGTTACCCTAGTTATCATTAAAGACACAAATCTGCACTGAGGCATAAAGAGGCTCCCTCCCCTAGACGGGAAGTAGATATAAAGACCCTTTCAGCAGAGAAAATTAGGACAGCTTTATCAACACAGAAAAAGGATAGAGAGAACTTTGTATTGTAGCAATCTGAACTTCCTGTCAACAGATTAGGAGGACATCTTGGGGGTGAATGTACTAATAACCTTATTTGCCAGTAAAGGGGTGTCCTTTCATGTTTCAAGGGTTAAATATGAAATCTAGCCGAATTCTGTGTTTATAAATAACCAGGAAAATGAAGGACAGTAGGCTGGGGTCTGTTAGGAGTTTGATGGTCAAATAACTTCTAACTCCTGGTTGGCAGGTTTCTCAAGATCTGGCTGTATAAACAATGGACAGGGCTGAGAACCA
This sequence comes from Homo sapiens, assembly GCF_000001405.40. NCBI lineage: Eukaryota > Metazoa > Chordata > Mammalia > Primates > Hominidae > Homo > Homo sapiens. The sequence continues at coordinate 113,678 of NW_025791759.1, read as the reverse complement.
GGAAGTGCAGTGTCTCTGGGATCTATGCTTGATGCCTCTAACTCTGCTTAGCACTGAGTATGTAGGATAGTCCCCATGTGTAAGTATAGCTGCCTATGTCCATAATTGCTTGTACTGAAACCCAGACGTTCTAGTCTAGTGTTGCATAACACAGTACCCCAAACTTAGGAGCATAAAGCAACAACAATCATTTGTAATTACCTCTGTATGGGTGATTGATTTCAACTGGGCTATTCTCACTTAGAGTCTGTCATGCAATTTTGTTCAGGAGGTAGATGGAACTTGCTCACTCACGTGCCAGTCAGTTGATATTGCCTATTGACTGAAATACCTACACATCATCTTTCCATGTGGCCTGGGCTTCCCCACTGCTTTAGTCAAGAAGTAACAAAGGTCCACTCAGTTTCAAGGGGTGAGAGTACAGACCTCACCTCTTAATGAGGGAATGGCACACTCTAAGAAGAGCATGAGGAATAAAAGAGATATGTCCATTTTTTGAAAATATAGTCTGCCACAGTAAATTAGTAGATGGCCAGTATCTTCTCTTGGACAATTTAGATTAGATGCCCTCAAAGGGAAATAGGAAAAAAAAATAGACAACTCAAACTCTAGACTCTCCCTTCTTAAGTGTTTATGTCAACTTCATCAGTCTATTGTAATACTTAAGTTACAGGGATTAGAAAAATAAAGGGAAAATGTAAGACACCAAAAAGGGAGGTTCTAGATCACCTGCTAACCTATTAGAAACTCAAGATGATATCAATTTGAGTTGGTAAATGTAAAAGATATACATTTAGTGGACTAGATGATAACTGTAAAAGGCAAGACTAAAGTTTCTAAACAACTTTCAAAGTTAACAAAGCTCTGGCTAGGCAGACAAGAAGCCACCAGTTATGATTTGCCTAAGCATTCTGTGTCCACGTATAGGTTTGGCATATGTTATTATATTTTTTAATGTACAAAATATATATATTTTTGTTATTTTTAATATAACACTTGATGTTTACAAAACACTGTGTTTAAGTTGTGGAGCATAACAATAAGATGAACATTTAGGAATCTATCACTCAACTTAACTCAAGAGCTACACTTATGTATTTTTCATTTTTCCCACCTCCCTATTTCTTCACACTGTACCCCTCACCCCCACCAGTGGTTACTATTATTCTAATTTTTATATTTATTGTATCTTATTTATTGTTATATCTTTATGACATATGTATGTATGTTTAAAAATACATTACTTAGCTATACCTACTTTTGAGCTTTATAAAATGTAATACTGTATACACTTTTCTAAGACTTGCTTCTTTTTATAATTCAGTTACACTAATAATATCCAGAAAGAGCTATAGTTCACTAGCTGCCTTATACTATTCCATTATGTGAATATATCTCGATATTTTTAATCCATTCTACTGTTGAGGAATAATAGAATTGTTCATATATATTTGTGTACTTCTGGCAGCTCATCTATAGAATACATTCCTGAAAGTAAAATTCCTTGATCAGTAATATGTGCCTTTAAAATCTTAATAACTATTGCCAAACTGAAACCAAAATAGGATACATTCATTTACACACTCGGCAACACTGAGAATGCTTCCTCACCCACACTTTCATCAATGATGGGTATTACCAACTCCTTAAAAAATGGGCAAACTTAAAGGTAAAAGGGGTTTATTATTTTTTCCTTTGAATTTTAATTTCTTTAATTACAAATAAGGTTAAGTATCTTTTCATATGCTTATTAGCAATTTCTACTTTATATGCTGCGAATGTCCATTTACGTATCTTGCTCATTTTTCATAGTGTTAGTTGTCCTTTTCTTGTGAGTGCTAAGATAAGAAAATATGCCTTTTATCATATATATTGCAAATATTGTTCTTCCATTTATCATTTTTACTGGATTTGTGTGTTTGAAATTTTTGCAATATTATATTCATGTATTTATCTCTTGAAATCAAACTTTATTGCTTATGCGTTTTGATTAGTGCTTAAAAGGGACTTCCTAACTCCAAGATTATTTTTAAAAAGCACCATGCTGTCCCATATACTTCGTATGCTTCAATATTGATTCATCTGAAATTTATTTGGTTGTAAGAAACAAAGTAAGGTATACAGTGGTCCTTCAGTATCCACGTAGATTTGTTCCAAGATGCACTACGGCTAGTAAAATCTGAGGATGCTCAAGTCCGTTATATCAAATGGCATAATCTTTGCATGCAACCTATGCACATCCTCCCATTTACTTTAAATCATCTCTAGATTACTTATAACATCTAATCAAATGTAAGTGTTATGTAAATGAGTGTTGTACTGTATTGCTTAGAGAATAATGACAAGAAAAAAAGTCTGTGCATGTTCAGTACAGACACAACATTCTTTTTTTTTTTCCTAAACAGAAGCTTTTTAGTTTGTTGTAGTCCCACTTATTTATTTTTGCTTTTGTTACCTGTGCTTTTTGTGTTATATGAAAAAAAAATCATTGCCAAGACTGTTAAGCATCTTTTTCCTATGTTTTCTTTTAGGAATTTTTATGATTTCAGGTCTTAGGTTTAAGTCTTCAATCTGTTCTGAATTAATTTTTGTGTATGCTGTAAAATAATAACCTGTAGTTTTCTTTTCTTCTGCATGTGGATATCACATTTTACCAACACAACAAGAGATTATCTTTTCCCCATGTTATGTCCTTGGTGCCTTTATTGAAGATTGGTTAATTTTGTACATGTGGTTTTATTTCTGGGCTCTTCATTCTGTTCCATTGGTCTATGTTGCTGTTTTTATGCCAGTATTATACTGTATGATTACTACAGCTTTGCAATATATTTAAATCAGGATGTGTGATGCCTTCAGCTTTTCTCTTGTTTCTCAAGATTACTTTGGCTATTTGGGATCTTTTGTGGTTCCATACAAATTTTTAGAATTTTTCCTTTTATTTCTGTAAAAAATACAATTGAAATTCTAATAAATATAGATTACATTCAATCTATAAATCACTTTAGGTATTATAGACATTTTAATAATATAAATTCTTCCAATCCATGAACACGGGATATCTTTCCATTTATTGGTTTCTTCTTTAATTTCTTTCATCAATATTTTTTGGTTTTCAGTATACAAATCTTTCACCTCCCTGGTTAAATTTGTTCTTAAGTAATTTATTCTTTTTTATGTTATTGTAAATGAGATTTTTAAAAATTTTCTTCGTGTATAGTTTATTTTTGATGCAAAGTAATGCTATTGATCTTTGTACACTGAATGTGTATCCTGTACCTTTAGTGAATTTATTTATTCTAACAGTTTTTTTTTCTTTCATGGAGTTTTTAGGGTTTTCTACATAGAGGATCATGTCATCTGCAAACGGAGATAATTTTACTTTTCCCTTTCTAATTTCAATGCCTTTTCTTTCTCTCTCTTTTCTATTTGTCTTTCTAGGACTTCCAGTACTATGTTGAATAGAGTGGCAAGGGTGAGCATTCTTGCCTTATATTGGATTTTAGAGAAAAAGTTGTTTTTCCCTATTGATTATGATATTATCTGTGGGTTTTTCATAAATAGCCTTTATCATGTTTATGTTACTTCTTTCTTTACATATTTTACTGAGAGTTGTTATCATGAATGAATGTCAAACTTTGTAAAATGCTTTTTTCTACATCTATTGAGATTATCATGTGATTTATTTTCATTCCGTTAATGTGATGTATCATAATGATTAATTTGCTTATGTTGATTTCACCCTGCATTCCAGAGATAAATCCCATTTGGCCATGGCGTATAATCTTTGTGGTGTACTATTGGATTTAGATAGCTGGTATTTTATTCAGGATTTTTCATCTATATTCATGGGAGATTTTGACTTGCAGTTTTCTTTTCTTGTGGTGTCTTTGGCTTTGGCCTTATCAAATGAGTATAGAACTGTTTTCTCTTCTATTTTTTAGAAGCGTTTAAGAAGGACTTATATTAAATTTTCTTTGACTGTTTGCTAGGATTCATTCATAAAGCCATCTGGTCCTGGGCTTTTCTTTGTTGGAAGGATTCTAATACTGAGTCAATCTACTGATTATTTTCATCTGTTCAAGTTTTCTATTTCTTCTTGATTAGTTTTGGTAGGCTGCATAATTCTAGAAATTTATCCATTTCTTCCAGGCTATACAAATATAATTTGTTGCCTTTTAATTGTTCATAGAAATCTCTATGATCTTTTTTATTTCTTAGGCATCTGTTGTAATGTCTCTTTCTTCACTTCTAAATTTATATGAGTCTTCTGTCTCTTATTTTCTCTTTTATTCTAGCTAAGGGTTGTCCATTTAATTTATCTTTTTTATAGAAAGAACTTTTAGGTTTGTTAATTTTTCTGTTGTTTTTCGATTCTCTATTTCTGCTCTAATCTTTATTATTTTATTTTTCTGTTAACTTTGGGTGTAGTTTGTTCTTCTTTTTTCTTGTCCCTTGAGGTGTATAGTTAGGTTTCTGCATCTGAGATCTGTCTTTCTTTAAATGTAGGCATTTATGATCATAAACTTTTAGGACTGCTTTTGTTGCATCCTATAGTGTTGGCATGTTTTAATTTTGTTTTCATTTGTTTCAACATATTTTTTAGATTCCTTTTTGATTTTCTCTTTGACCCAATAGTTATAGTGTGTTGTTTAATTTCCATGTAATATAAAATTTTTCCATTTTATTGCTGTTATTGATTTCTAATTTCATTCCATTGTGGTATTAAAAAATACTTGATATGTTTCCATTTTTTTCAAATTTGTTAAGGTTTGTTTTGTGATTTAACATATGATCTATTCTAAAGAATTTTCCATGTTCATTTGAGAAAAATGAGCACTCTGCTGAAGAAAGTTCTTCAAACCCAAAGGAAAGAATGCTAACACGATTGTTAATATTAATATTGTGATTGTGGTGTTTGACCCACTTCTATCTTTACTAAGAAGACTGAAAGAGAAAATAAGACAAATTAAGAACAATAGCTACAGCAATTTAAGGTATAGGCAATATAAAAATTTTAAATTGTGACATCAGAAATTCAAAATATGTGGGGGAGAAGGTAGTCTGTACACATTTTTTTTTATTTTGTTTTTGCTTTGTTACTGTTATTTTCTTGTGATTAAAGCTAAGTTTAAATAAGTTTTTAATTGTGTGTTATAACTATAGGATGTTTGTGTAAGCTTCATGTTAATCACAAAGCAAAAGCATATAATAGATACACTAAAAAAGCTATAAATTAAAATACTCTACCAGAGAAAATAACTTCAATATAAAGAAAGACAGTTAGAAAAGAAGAGAGGAGTTACACCACAACTGGTAAAGAAGTAACAAAATGGCAGTAGCAAGGCTTTACCTATCATAATTACATTGAATGTAAATGGATTAAATTCTCCAGTTAAAGACATAGAGTGGCTGAAAGGATAAATAAGGAAGACCTGACTATATCCTGCCTACAAGACTCAGTTCACCTATACAGACACACATTTATTGAAAGGGAAGAGATGGAAAAAGATACTCTATGCAAATGGAAATCAAGAAAGAGCAGGAGTAGCTATACTTGTATCAGATAAAATAGACTTTAAGTCAAAAACTGTATAAAGAGACAAAGAAGATCACTATATAATAATAAGAAAGTCAATTCAGCAAGAAGATATAACAATAATAAATATACAGTACCCAATACTGGAGCACCCAAATATATAAAGCAATTATTAATACATCTAAAAGATAGACTATAATACGATAATAGTAGGGGACTCCAACACTCCACTTTCAGCACTTGAAAGATTATCCAGGCAGAAAATCAACAAATGGACATCAGAATTAAACTACACTCTGGACTAAGTGGGTCTGACAGACATTTACAGAATATTTTATCCAACTGCTGCAGAATGTACATTTTTTTTCTCATCAGCACATGTAACATTATCCAGGAGACACCATATATTAGAGCATAAAGCAAGTCTTGAAAAATTCGAAGAAATCAAAATCATATCAAATATATTTTCTGATCACAACAGTGTAAGATTAGAAATCAATAACAGGAACTTTTAAAACTGTACACATACGTGGAAATGAAAGAACGTGTTCCTGAATTACCAATGAGTCAGCAAATACATTAAGAAGGAATTTTTTTTTTTTTTTTTTTTTTTTGAGATGGAGTCTTGCTCTGTCGCCCAGGCTGAAGTGCAGTGGCGCTATCTCGGCTCACTGCAAACTCCGCCTCCCGGGTTCACGCCATTCTCCTGCCTCAGCCTCCCGAGTAGCTGGGACTACAGGTGCCCACCACCACATCCAGCTGATTTTTTGTATTTTTAGTAGAGACGGGGTTTCACCGTGTTAGCCAGGATGGTCTGGATCTCCTGACCTCGTGATCCGCCCGCCTCGGCCTTCCAAAGTGCTGGGATTACAGGCGTGAGCCACAGCGCCCAGCCAAGAAGGAAATTTAAAAATTTATTCAAATAAGTGAAAATGGAAGCACAGCATACCCAATCTTTTGGGATACAGCAAAAGCATTACTACGAGAGAATTTTATGGCAATAAATGCCTGCATCCCCCAAACAGAAAGACTCCAAGTCAACAATTTAATGATGCACTTTAAGGAACTAGAAAAGCAAAAATAAAAAAAAAATAGAAGGAAAAAAAATAAAGATCTTAACAGAAATAAATGAAATTTAGACTAGGAAAATAATCCAAAAGTGCAACAAAACAAAAAGTTGGTTTGTGGAAAAGATAAAATTGACAAACCTTTAGCTAAAATAACCAAGAAAAGAAGAGAGAAGACCCAAATAAATAACATCAAAAATGAAAAAAGAAATATCACAACTGATACCCAGAAATGCAAAGGATCAATAAAGAGCATTGTGAACTACTATACACCATCAAATTGGAGAAACTAGGGGAAATGCATAAATTCCTGAACACATACAACCTACCGAGATTGAACTATGAAGAAATAGAAAACCTGAACAGACTAATAATGTGTAATGATTTTGAAGCAGTAACAAGTCTCCTATCAAAGAAAAGCCCAGGACTTGATAACTTCACAATAGTTGTATTGGACACTCTGAGGAGCTGGCCCTGTGCAAAAAGAGGAATGTCCCCCTAGGAGGAGGTGAAAACTTTACCCACTATGTAGGAGGTAGATACTGCTGGTAAACATAAGTATCTTCCAGTCTAGGAAGGTAAGAACCCCATCCCTTATGGCTGAAGATTTATCTGTTACTGGAGAGTCATATTTTGAAATCAAATTTTATATTCTGGGGAAGCAAATGTTTTATGAATCTCCACAAAAAATACTCTTGGAAGAAATATTATGGAATAATGTTATATGATAATAATCCAATGCTTTCCTTCTTTTTAAAATTCTTATTATTCCAGGGGACATTTATTTGCCCCAGTGAAGGATAAACCCAAAAGAATGCAAGAAAAAGTCAACTGAATTTCAAAAATATGTTTATAAAGCTCATAACTGAAACATTTGTATTGAAAGCTGAAATAGTTTTTAAGTTTAGCAAACTTTTCTAGAGTGGAAAACCTCTTAATTTACAAAGAATGGTTTTGAATATCAAAAGCCTAAGTACTAAAGTACTTTGTATATGAAATGTAAACTGTGCATTGTGGAGTTGGAAATAATTAAGGTTTTTTTTTTTTTCCAAAATAAAACAAAGCCATCCAGCCTTTGGAGAAGATGGCACCAGAGTTATATATTGTGGAAAGCCCACTCTTGGTCCTACCCCAAATAAACCCTGATGTAAGGAAGGAAGGAAAGAATCTGATTGAAGCAGAGAAGGTATGCCCCTCACTTTTCAGAGAAGCCTCTTAGAAAAGGCTTGAATACTGATGGAGTAGAAATGGGTGAGTAAGGCAGCAGGTGATGGCTCAATGATACCTCACTGAGTTTCATCCACTCCTCTACAGGGTCAAGGGTGCAGTTAAATGTCCAGGTGCCCTCAAGAAGTGGCAGAGAGAAGTACAAAGAACCTAGAGTAGCCTCAAAATGGTCATAAGGAAGATATGAAGTGCAGGGACTATATTGATAAGGACCATGGCAAGACTGGACTCATCTCAATTAATGGCAACAGATACATGAGCCATTGGGGCTCATGTATCTCCAGAGAATCCAATCTGAGGAGGTAGAAATGAACCTGGATAAAGTTCTTCTTCTTCCAGAAAGCTGGAAATCTTGACCTGAACTTGATTCACCCCAAGGATAATGGGGAAGTGGAAGAAAGGGGAGAAGCAGAACTTTTAATGTTATTGTTTTTACTCATAACATGACTTATTAATCATTAATTGCTTGAGTTTACATGAAAAGGTTTAGATTACTTTTTTTTTCATCAAGCAGATTCGGAGCTGAGAATTACAAAGTAAAATGAATTGCAGAACTTTCTAAAAGTAACCTTTGTATGCACTTGCATAGATAGCCTATATAATTCACAATTGGTTTACACATTTTATTTGACATTTCTGCATTTTAAAAATATTTTACAATGAGAATCCTGTGTACTCATGTATTTCTTGTATGTCTTTTTATAAATATCTTTGTATTGTGACATTAATTTGGTCAGTAATTATAACTGTTAATCATTATAGTTTTAATCATCACATATTTTGTCCCACAAATTGAGTCTAAAATTCACCCTAATGTTTTTAACATTTTTTTGAAGTGAGGAACAGTACATAGTCTTTTTTTAATCTACTTTTAACTCAGTTGCTTTAACTTTATGGAAGTTTTCATGTCAAAAGCCCTTACTGTTGACTTTGTTCAGTTTTTCGGGAGTAGTGAAATTACCTACTTTTTCAGAAAGGTGTTATGTTGACTCTTTCACGTTTCCATTTAATTGTCTTTCTTTGCATTTGTGACTTGGCCTACAAAGGGAAAGAGAGGACCCAATCTGAAATGATTTTAAAAATGATTTTTGGTCGTTTTGACCCTCGCCTTGTCCTTCCCTTCTCATCTATCACTCCCATCTGCATCTGCTTCTGAAGTGTCTTTCTTCCTAACCAATTTCATAACATTTTGTAGCATTCTGCTTCCTGAGCCGTCTCCTCTTCTGATCCTGTTCATGAGGAAGGCATTTCTGTCAGCCCCACAAGGCCTTCTCCTCCATGTGGCTTATCTTCAGCCAGAAGAAGCAAAGAATCAGACCAAGTTACGTGTGCTCTGTTCACAAGCCTCAAGTCTCATAGCTGTCATATGCTGATTAGGAGTCTTCTCCACTCAATGTCCTTACTACTCCCCACTTTCACCACCTAGTTCCCCTTCATTTGGAGTCCCACATGTGGGTGGCAGGAAATGTGCAGGGGATTGCCTGAAAATGTTCTTTCTAAAAAGTTTTTAGCTCATTCCAAACCCATGTCTTAAAAAATGTTCTTGCTTTGCTTATCTTATTAAAACACAAGGCAATTAGATTTTTGCACATATCCTTTTCAGTAATAGCCACTTGTTCAAGCATCCAATTTATGACAAAAAATTCAGTTGAGTAATTTCATATGGTTTGCACTTCAGCAAGATGGACTGGTATCTTTAAATTTAAGCTTGAGATGAACACTAGCTCATACATTGGCCTTGTCATGATCTCCTTGAGTAGGGCCAATGGGTGTCTGTCTACAGGTGTTTCAAGTGACCTGTGTTTTTATTCTGTTTTGAAAGAGGTTCAGAAAATGATCCTCAATTATTAGAGGCTAGCTCCTAGTTTCTCTCTTGCCTTGGCACTGACTGTGATGTATGAGGCTTCACTGATCCCATAAAATTCTGGCTCTATGACTTTACCAATAGGCTTCCATCTGGAAGGCACCCATAACTATTTAAGAAAAGATTATCGTCTTAGGAGAAGAATTTCCTACCCAGCACTCTCTGCAGAGCATCCTGGACTTCTTTATTTCTCAGACCATACACAACAGGGTTTAGTAAAGGTGTTATGACAGTGTAGGTCACTGAGATTAACTGATCCTGATCTTTGGTATTCTCCAAATTGGGCTTGAAGTAGGCAATGGAGGCACAGCCATAGTGGATAATGACCACAGTGAGGTGGGATGCATAGGTGGCAAAGGTCTTCTTCCCGCCTTCAGCTGAGGTGATCTTGAGAATGGTGGAAATAATAAGGACATAAGAGATGAAGAGGAAGATGGCTGGGGCTGTGATGGCAAGGAGGCTCATAATTAAGGTCAGAATATCATTGATCATTGGGGTAGCCCAGGCCAGGTCCAACACAGGCTGAACATCACAGAAGAAATGCTCAATCAGTGGGGTGCAAAAGAGCAACCTGAAAATGGCCACAGTCTGAACCAGTGAGAGTGAGAACCCTGTGGCACAGACTGATGATGCCAGTATAGCACACACCCTCCAATTCATGATGACTGAGTATCGAAGTGGGTTGCAGACGGCCACGTAGTGATCATATTCCATTACTGCTAGCAGGAGGCAGTTGGTGATGGCAAAGCCAAGAAAAAAAAAGATCTGAGTCCCACAGCCCTCCAGGGAAATGGATTGGCTCAGGCCTACAAGGCTGGAAAGCATGCGTGGGATAATGACCAGGGAATAGAAAGTCTCTGAAGTGGATAGCACACTTAAAAAGAAGTACATAGGAGTATGGAGGTGATGGTCAACATAGATTATGGCCAGAATGATGAAATTGCCAGCCAGAGTTAGGAATGTAGAGGGCGAGAAAGACCACAAAAAATGTGAGCTGATGTTCTGGAAAATTGGAGAAACCTTGGAAAACAAACTCTCTTAACTCTGTGTGATTGGCTCTCTTCATTGAGAATCTCAGGTCTGAAAGAATAAGACAAAGTCCACAACATCTTTTAGCAAAAAATAACTGTGCTCTGGAGTACACTACAGAGAGCAAAAATGCAACACAGCAGAGACTCAGTTCAAAACTCAGTGAATCAACTTTCTTTTTTAGGGACATGGCAGATTAAGTCCTTGGACTGAAAATAAAGACACACAAGATTTGAGCACTATTATTTAAAATTTTGATATAAAGCATTCTTCTTAAGTACACCTGGGTCATTTTAAAAAATGATCATCAATGGTCCATGAAATTGGTCCCAACATTTTTTTAAGGACTGGATCTTCTTAAAAGGTAATCACATTCCCAGACTATAGTATAATTAAGACAGAAAATTTCATCTTGTCGCAATTTCATGGATCAAAAATATTGGGAAAAATGCATTTGTACTGAACGTGTACAGACATTTTCCCCACTATTTCCTAAACAATACAGTGTAATAACTATTTATATAGCATTTACATTGTATCAGGTACTATAAGTAAGCCAGAGATGATTTGAGGTATAAGGAGGATGTGCATAGGTTATATGCAAGTACTTCACTATTTTGTATCATGGACTTGAACATCTGTGAATTTTGATATCCATGAGAAGTCCTGGAACCAATCCCTCATGGATACTGAGAGACAGCTATGTTATCAAACCAAATCCAGCAATGTATAATAAAATGGGTACATGACCAAGTTGGTTTTATTTCAGAATGTAAAGTCTGTTTAACATTTAAACAGTCCAATTATATATTTCCTCAAATAAAGTACCTCAAAAAAGTCATATGATTATTTTAATAGCTGCCACAAAAGCATTCTTAAAATTCAATGTCTATTTTGAGAAGAACCCTTAGTAAACTAGGACTAAAATATTTTCTTTAACTTAATAAAGCATATGTATGCAATTCTACATCCCACATCAAACTTAATGGTAAGATATTGAATGATTATCTTTAAGATTAAGAAGAAGACAAGGGTGACGGCTTTATCCACTTCTCTTTGACATTGTATTGAATATACTAGCCAGCCTAATAAAGCAATAAAAAGACATTAAAGGTACAAGGATTGAAAAGAAAGGAATAAAACTTAACTTTCTTTTTATTTTAGTGATTCCAGGACATTTTATTCCTTTACACTTTCTTTCTTTTTTCTTTTTTTGGTGCTTTATTTTATTTTATTTTTTATTATACTGTAAGTTCTGGGGTACGTGTGCAAACGTGCAGTTTTGTTACATAGGTATACATGTGCCATGGTGGTTTGCTGCACCCATCAACCCGTCATCTACATTAGGTATTTCTCCTAGTGCTATCCCTTACCTAGCCTCCCACCGCCTGATAGGCCCTGGTGTGTGATGTTCCCTTCCCTGTGTCCATGTGTACTCATTGTTCAACTCCCACTTATGAGTGAGAACATGCAGTGTTTGGTTTTCTGTTCTTGTGCTAGTTTGCTTAGAATGATGGTTTCCAGCTTCATTCACATCCCTGCAAAGGACATGAACTCAACCTTTTTCATGGCTGCATAGTATTCCGTGGAGTATATGTGCCACATTTTCTTTATCCAGTCTACATTGATGAGCATTTGGGTTGGTTCCAAGTCTTTGCTATTGTGAACAGTGATGCAATAAACATACGTGTGCATGTGTCTTTATAGTAGAATGATTTATAATCCTTTGGGTATATACCCAGTAATGGGATGCTGGGTCAAATGGTATTTCTAGTTCTAGATCCTTGAGAAATCGCCACACTGTCTTCCACAGTGATTGAACTAATTTACACTCCCACCAACAGTCTAAAAGTGTTCCTATTTCTCCACATCCTCTCCAGCATCTGTTGTTTCCTGACTTTTTCACCATTCTAACTGACATGAGATGGTATCTCATTGTAGTTTTGATTTGCATTTCTCTAATGACCAGTGATGATGAGCATTTTTTCATGTTTCTTGGTTGCATAAATGTCTTCTTTTGAGAAGTGTCTGTTCATATTATTTACCCCCTTTTTGATGGGGTTGTTTTTTCTAGTAAAATTGTTTAAATTCTTTGTAGGTACTAGATATTAGCTCTTTGTTAGATGCATAGATTGCAAAAAGTTTCTCCCATTCTGTAGGTTGCCTGTTCACTCTGATGATAGTTTTTTTTTTGCCTTCAGAAGCTCTTTAGTTTAATTAGATCCCATTTGTCTATTTTGGCTTTTGTTGCCATTGCTTTCGGTGTTTTAGTCATGAAGTTTTTGCCCATGCCTATGTCCTCAATGGTATTGCCTAGGTTTTCTTCTAGGGTTTTTATGGTTTTACATGTAACATTTAAGTCTTTAATCCATCTTGAGTTAATTTTTGCAAAAGGTGTAAGGAAAGGATCCAGTTTTAGCTTTCTGCATATAGCTAGTCAGTTTGCCCAACACCATTTATTAAATAGGGAATCCTTTCCCCATTTCTTGTTTTTGTCAGGTTTGTCAAAGATCCGATGGTTGTAGATGTGTAGTGTTATTTCTGAAGCCTCTGTTCTGTTCCATTGGTCTATATATCTGTTTTGGTACCAGTACCATGCTGTTTTGGTTACTGTAGCCTTGTAGTATAGTTTGAAATCAGGTAACTTAATGCCTCCAGCTTTGTTTTTTGCTTAGGATTGTCTTGGCTATGCAGGCTCTTTTTTCATTCCATATGAAATTTAAAGTAGTTTTTTCCAGTTCTGTGAAGAAAGTCAATAGTAGTTTGATGGGGATAGCATTGAATCTATAAATTACTTTGGGCAGTATGGCCATTTTCATAATACTGATTCTTCCTATCCATGAACACGGAATGTTTTTCCATTTTTTGTGTCCTCTCTTATTTACTTGAGCAGTGCTTCATAGTTCTCCTTGAAGAGGTCCTTCACATCCCTTGTAAGTTGTATTCCTAGGTATTTTGTTCTCTTTGTAGCAATAGTGAATGGGAGTTAACTCATGATTTGGCTCTCTCTTTGTCTATTATTGGTGTATAGGAATGCTTGTGATTTTTGCACATTGATTTTGTATCCTGAGACTTTGCTGAAGTTGCTTATCAGCTTAAGGAGATTTGGGGCTGATACTATGGGGTTTTCTGAATATACAATCATGTCATCTGAAAAAAGAGACAATTTTACTTCGTCTTTTCTTAATTGAATACCCTTTATTTCTTTCTCTTGTCTGATTGCCCTGGCCAGAACTTCCAACACTATGTTGAATAAGAGTGGTGAGAGAGGTCATCCTTATCTTATGCCTGTTTTCGAAGGGAATGCTTCCAGTTTTTGCCCATTCAGTATGATATTGGCTGTGAGTTTGTCATAAATAGCTCTTATTATTTTGAGATATATTCCATCAATACCTAGTTTATTGAGAGTCTTTAGCATGAAGGGCTGCTGAATTTTGTTGAAGGCCTTTTCTGCATCTACTGAAATAATCATGTGGTTTTTGTCATTGGTTCTGTTTATGTGATGGATTACATTTATTGATTTGCATATGTTGAACCAGCTTTGCATCCCAGGGATGAAGCCAACTTGATCGTGGTGGATAAGCTTTTTGATGTGCTGCTGGGTTCGGTTTGCCAGTATTTTATTGAGGATTTTCACATCAATGTTCATCAGGGATATTGGCCTGAAATTCTCTTTTTTTGTTGTGTCTCTGACAGGTTTTGGTATCAGAATGATGATGGCCTCATACAATGAGTTAGGGAGGATTCCCTCCTTTTCTGTGGTTTGGAATAGTTTCAGAAGGAATGGTATCAGCTCCTCTTTGTATCTCTTGTAGAATTCAGCTGTGAATCTGTCTAATCCTGGACTTTTTTTGGTTGGCAGGCTATTAATTAATGCCTCAATTTCAGAACCTGTTATTGGTCTATTCAGGGATTCGACTTCTTCCTAGTTAGTCTTGGGAGGGTGTATGTGTCCAGGAATTTATCCATTTCTTCTAGATTTTCTAGTTTGTTTGCTTAGAGGTGTTTATAGTATTCTCAGGCAATACAGAGAACACCACTTTTTTTTTAGATGATGTGACTCTATACACAGAGAATCTGAAATAAATTTCTGATAAATTATTAGAATTATTAAGAAAGTTTAACAAACTTTTTGGTACAAAATTTATATGTAAAAATCCACTTTATTTCAGTATTTCAACAAATGATAGCAAAGTATAAAGCCACTATTATTTATAATAGCTTCAAAAAAATAAAGTATCCATGAATAAAGAACTTTATATTAAGAATTACAATATCAAGAATTACAATACCTTACAAAAAAGACAGAAATAAACGGTTATGCTTATGTATTCGAAGATACAATATTATGATATTACAATTAGTGCACAATTGACTGATGAGTTCAATGCAATTCAATCAGAATCCTAAATAGATTGTTTTGTGTTATTTGTTTTTTAGATTGACAACTCATATTAAACTGTATATGGAAGCACAAACATTGAAGAATAGCCAAACATTCTTGAAGAAAAGAAACAAATGGAGAGAACTTGTCCTTCAAATATCATTTACTATAATAAAGCTGTAGTAATTAAGAAGGCATGGTTTTGGCACAGGGATAAGCACTCAAACCAATGAGAGAAAATGGAATTCTAAAATATGAAAATTATTCAAACGGGGCTGGCATTCCTGATTGATGGAAAGCACAGACTAGTCAATTAATGCAATAGTTGGTCATTCATATGAGGAAAAAATGAAATTAGGTTAGCTTATACCATACAAAATTCAATCACAAATGGATTAAAAACCTATAAACAAACAAAAAACTCTATTAAATATTTAGAAGACACTATGTGAGAATATTTTTAAAACTTGAGATAAATGATTCCTTAAGGTACAAAACAGCAAAAAATGACAACCTTTATTATATAAAAATTAATTTGTGTTTTCCAGAATCACAAAAAAGAAAAAAAGCAAGGTAAAAATAGAGAAAAGATATTAGCAACAAAAATTAGATAAAATACTAGTATTTGGAGTATCAAATGGATTCTGAGAATCAAAGAGAAAAAAATCAGTTTAATATAATGATAGATAAGAGGAATAAATAGGAATTTCATATGAGAGGAAGCACAAATCTCATATAAACATGTGAACAAGCCTTTAACATCATTAGTAGCCAGGGAAAAACAAGACCACACCCCAAAAATTAAGAACATAGACCATTTCATTCTCATAAGATGGTCAATAGTCAAAATTGTGCCAAATATAGAGCAAGGGAAGCTCCAGTCTCCTACTGGTGGGAGAGTAAATTGATACAATCATTTTGGAAAACAGTTTGACATTACCTGCTACAGCTGAAAACAAACATGTTCTATAAACCAGGAATTCTACCGTTAGATATTTAATCCATAAAAACTCAAAAGACAAATGCACAAAGTTTACAGTTTTGTTTGTTTAAACAAAAAGAAAAAAAGGAAAACTGAAGCAAGTCAAATGTTCTTCAGAAGTAGAAAGAACATTTAAATTGAAACAAAATTTCACAATGAACTGTGATAGGGCATTGAGTGAATTACTACAGAGGAGGGGTGGGTAAACCAAAACCTACAGAGCAGTCAAATGTTTTTATAAATAAAGTTTTATTGGAGCACAATCACATCAATTTGTTTATGTATTGTGTATGGCTGCTTTCGTACTATAATAGAGTTGAGTAGGTGCAACAGAGACCGCATGGCCTGCGAAGACTAAAATAATTACTAACTAGTCCTTTACAGAAAAAGTTTGCTGACTCATATTAAAGATAATTAAAAGGACTAATAACATTTTTTCAAATCAACATGAATGAATCTCAGAGTTATTATGATTATATTGAATAATGGAAGCACATCATTTATATATTATATAGAGAGATTATGATTGAGTGATTATATATAAATTCAATATATTATATATGGTGTGTGTGTGTGCATGCATCGTGTGTGTATCCCATTTATTTAACATTCAAAGGAAGGCAGGATTAGATAATTTATTATTTAGGGATACCCTATTTTTTAAAAATATGGAAATGCTGTAACCTAAAGTTCATGACAGGGACTAGTTGGCATATATTTAAAGTTTCTGAAAGGAGCATTTATGAGGCTTCTAGATTCATGATGATATTCTAATTCTCAGCCTGGGTAGAGTGGACCTAAGTGTTTGTTTTGTTATTCCTCTTAAAATGTATGTTTTTGCATACATTTTTAAATGCATTCCATATTTTACAATAAAACTTATAATGTTACACATCTAGAAAACTCTTCACGATATTGTTAAATGGAAGAAATATTATAAAATGGTAAAGGTCATATGATCCCAATATTGTAAACAAAAGAAAGATATATATCCATGTATAAGTAAATATGTGAACATAGAAAAAACACTCAGAGAATTCATAAATGAATATATGTAACATTTGTAAACAAAAAGTAATGCAACATTATTTTAAAAATATGTATTATGCAGCTTTAAACATAATGCATATGATAATTTTATAATTCAGTGGAAAATAGTAAGTGAAGCAGGATATGATATAGTATGTACAAAATAATCTCAATTATATGAATATCTGCATAGAGAAAGGCTGAATGTAAATGATCTAAATGTTAGTAGAATATGGTTCTGCATGGTGTAATTATGGGTAAGATCCCACTGTCTCCTAATTTTTCCCTAGTGTCCATGATAAGTATGTATTACTTATGCAGTGGGGTTGAGGGTATGTTCAAATTTTTAAGCCTTTCTTGAGGCCATTCTCTCAACCATCTTTCCATCTAGATATCCCTCCCTCCTTGGTTCTCTTTGCATTTCATTCCTTCTATAATAGCACTTGTCACATTCAATTGAAATTATTATCTGACATTTCAACTACATTTTAAGCTTCCTTATTATAGAGATCATTCTCAATTCCATATCGCTAAAGCTATCCTAATTTTTGCCACATTTTAAGTTTTTGATAAGTATGTGTTAAATGAACTAATGAATAAGGGAATGCTCTTGAGATACTTCTAGTCTGAAGAAAGAGACCCTCACTTCTGCCAGATATACACAGAAACACTTCTTTGGGCACACAGAAACCAAGAAATGTATTTAAGTGAAAATCTAGACTATAGAACTATAGGGTAGTGAGAGGTAGAGAATATGGACTCTTCCTTTAGGGAAATTGCAGGCATGTGGAGCATATGAAGCACCCAAGCAAAAGAAAGACAGAAAAACTGGCATACAGATAGATAGGAAAGGATAAAATCCACAAAGCTCTTTAAGTTGCAGAAGCTGAGAAGCTGCTAGAGCTAAAAGACATGAAAGGGCAATATAGGAAAAGATGGAGAGATAAACTAAATGCTGACAAACGATTATCATTAAGAAGGGACATGAATAATTATTCTGAGTTAGTTTTCCAATTCTTAAATTAAGTTTTTGTGAATAGCTCTTTTCTCTAAAAAGATGGTAAAAACGTATATGAATGTTTTTTGCATTTTACAGTTTTCTTTATTCTTCAAAGTCATAATAAATCTATCAGAAATAACTATGTGGTAGAAAAGTGAGAAAACTGAATTCCAAAAAGGAAAAAGGAATATCACACATTTAGTTCATGGCAGAGCTAACTTGGAAACTCAGCTCTCTTGACCCTGAACACTGAGTCCTTTGCTATTAAAAAAATTTCATTACTGGAAGAAAAAAATATTTTTATCTCAGCTGAGATACTGATACATGAAACACTGATATACAGAAGTGAATGAACCTTCTTTAGGAAGACATTTTTTAAAAAGGGAATCATTGTATCTTATTCTGAGTTGCTTTTGATGTCTCTGTGAAGAGGCAGGAACATGGACTGTGTAATTGTTACCTAATTTCCTCATAGTTCCTGACGTAGCTACTATCATCTGATAGGAGGGTGAGGCTCAGAGGAAAATGGTGTTCCTTTTAATTGTTCTCTGCTATGGCAAGTCTAGTATCTATCTGTCTAGAATCCTTAGCCTCAGTCTAATTCACATCCACCTATCTCTCTCTCTTTTTCTCTCTCTCTCTCTTTCTCTCTCTCTCTCACACCCCTCCGCCCGCCCCCCCCCCACACACACACACATTATGCTGAGTACATTTTTCTGAAAGTAGTGATCCTGATGCCCCCATGCATTGTTGCTGAAAAGGGGCAGGAACAGTAATCTGACCAGGACTGTGCATGATAGATAAGGGGTGTCAACGGAGCATATAGACTCTCAAAGCTGATGGAAAAATGAAGGTAGCCCTTATACTCTAAATGGCTGAGGAGTTAGAAAATAAAATGCAGAAACAAACATTTGGTTAACATACACCAGCCTAAAGGCTAGTGATTACTCTGCAAGGAAATAAAATACTCCCATTTGGTAGGTGGAGAATTTGAGGCTCAGTGGGATAAGCTACTTCAGTGGGATAAGCTACTTAAGTCCGACTCACAGATCTAGTAATTGGCAGTTGCAGGTGTGAAACAAAGATATTTCTAACTCCAAATCCCATGCATTTCCAACAGATCAATGCCCTACTGAATGAATTTTCAGGCAAGGTGTTCAGGTAAGAGAAGAAGGAGACAATAGCTGTATGAAAACTGCATCTCAGCCTTATTGACTCAAAAGATGCCAGGGACATCAGGAACAGATGACAATTCTGGGAGTTATGAAAGTTGTCTTATTCACTCTTCCCTCCAAGATTTTCTGCAGCTGATTTTATTATTTAAACATAAAGCTTGTAAGAATACTATATTTCACTTTATAAGTCATCAGCTCTCAATCAGCCATCATGCAAGATACAGGGAAATTATGAAATTCTAATATCACAAAAATAATCAGAAAACTGAAGAGAAAAAGGAAGTATATCAGAAAATTTAAAATCAAGTTTCCTCTCCTTTTTTTCCTATCAATAACCACTTACTTTTTGCAAACTTGGCAGAGGAAATGAGAGAAATTCTCCTTTTAGCTGGTGTATTTGAACATGAAAAGAAAATAAATAAATAAAATAAACAACAACAACAAAAAAACCCTGAGATTAGAACCTCTCCAAAAGGTCTAGTAGGAGAAATTGAAAGCTTCAAGCCTGGATGATCAGCACTTCCTGAGTGTCTGAAGGAAGATTCGAGTATGGTGACTAATTCAAGGTCCAGAGCATTGACTCCTCTGGCTTGGGAAGTCTTCCTGCAGAGTTGAAATCTCTTGCAACCCCAAATCCAGGAACTCTGTTTACTCCTGAAAGAGAAGCAACTTCATCTGCTCTAGAACTCTGGGGACTTCCCCTTGAGAATCATTCCAGGGCACGGAGGGAAGCAAAGTGTATGACTCTATCCCAGGGATCTGATTAGGAATTTGGGCAATTAGTAAAACAAAACTCATTGCCTTTGGTTATTGACTCACCAAAGCAGCTTGCATCTTAGAATGTAAAGTCTATTTTGTTAACAAACCAATGAACCTAGAAGAAACCTGCAAAATAAAATGGCCTATTTATTATACGTTTGAGGATCATTTCTTTATTTATTAAACCAATAAATATTAATGGAGAGCTTAAGTGCGATGAATTATGCTGAGTATTGAGGACACAAGCATGACAAAAACAGTCATGGTGTTTGCTCACATAGAGCTTATCAAGGAGGGAGGCATACAAAACTATAGCTAATCCATTATTATCTTTGTGCAAATTAGCAAAAGGAGACTCTTCATGTAGATGCAGCCAATGTACACACTCCTTTGTGAGCAGAGACTGTATTTATACAATTAGTAAAAGGGCACTCCTGCTTATAGACAGAGGGAGATCTATAACAGGATGTATGGCTTGTCAAGTGCACTGTGAGCTAGATTTTACCCCTCATTCTCTCCCTGATTAGGTGTTCTTGTCCTTGTCCAGTGAATAGCCTTCCCACCTAGGCATATTTCAAATAAATCATCTCACAAGTAAATACATTATTATGAACAAAAATAAATGCTATAAGGAAAGGTTTGAGCCATTATGAGAGCATATAACAGAGAGGGCAGGTTGTCCTAGTCTGGGAAGACTTTAAATACTTTTCTGAGGAATGATGTTCAAACAGGAATATTTAAGATAGATATAGGTCAACCAAGAAAGAAATTTTAAGATAGAGAGAAAACATGAGTGAAGGACTTGAGAGATTAATGATAATAACTCATTCTGAGAAGTGAAAGAAGGCAAAATTGTACACACAGTCTGAGGAAGAGATGATGTTAGAAGGTAATAGGGGATGAGATCATACAGAGTCTTGTGCCACTTTGTAAGGCCAATGTGGAGCCAGCAAAGCTTTTAAAACCGTGAATAGCACAATCAGATGTGCATTTCAAAAAGTCTAGTTGAAATGAGAAAAATGAATTGGAGAAGTAAATTTGGAAGCAGAAAATTTAATTAGGAAGATACTGCAGTTCTCCAATGGAAATATGATGAGAGCTGGAACTAGGGTAGTAGACATGAAGATGATTTTGGCTTGTTGGGACACATAGAACCAGCTCACAATAGGCATCCTAGGATACATGGTCAAGAGACCTGCCTTTACCAGCCGTAGCAGTGATTTGAGTCGTTTCTTAAAAGATGTTTGTCTAGAGAAAGTGCAGCTTTTTAAAGAAGTCTGAAGGGCCTGCATTGTAATCCTCCTATTGTAGCTTCACAGAATACCAACTTAATTCTCCACATGGAGAATCATTATAGCCTCTCACCCAATTTCAGACTAGAACCCTTGAATGAAGAGGTGGCCATATACCTTTAGGAACAGACCTTGTGATATTGCCACAAATATATATTATAAACACACATATCAGTCACTATAAAAAATAAACTCTCATTGAACACGTGGAATCTACTGAATTGTAAGGCTTTAGTGGTAGAGCTGCTTACACTGTATTCTTGACTAACTTCAGAGCCTTCCCTTGTTTTGGGCCCTACTCAAAACTGATGGTATCATAAATTACTTAGGAAATGGGTTGAAGTAGCTGATGTGTAATACGTTGCCAAATGTGTCTATTTCAAATAATACATTTAGAAATAGGGAAATAAATAGGATACATTTGGGAATCACTGGACATGTCATGAAATAAATTCAGACCAACATTTGCTAATTTTAGTTGACCTTCCTGACCCTCTATGCTACATTGTTGCTATGGTTTGAATGTTTCTGCCAAAACTCAGGTTGAAATTTAATTGTAATTGTAACAATGTTGAGAGGTAGGACTTTTAACAGGTGATTAGGTCATGAGGACTCTGCTCCCGTGAATGGGCTAATACTGTTATCAGCAAAGTGCATTAGTTATCATGGGAATAGGTTCTTGATAAAAAGGATGAATGTGGCCCAGTTTTCTCTCTGCCTCACATGCATGCTTGCTTCCTCATTCTACCATGGGCTGACCTTTGTCAGATGCCAGTGCCATTCTCATGGGCCTCCCAGCTCCAGAACAGTGAGTCAAACTTCTGTTATTTATAAATTACCCAGTCTGTGGTATTCTGTTATAGCAACAGAAAATGGACTAGACAATTGTGTTTGGTATCCATAGATAAGTCAGTTCAGAGGCAGTGTCCAGTAATCTCTCCAGCATATACCCTTATAATCAGTTACCTTGGTGAATGGATGCAGAAGACCATAAAAGAATTTATATTATGTATAATATAAATGTGGTCTTAGAGAAGACCACAAAAAGAATTTATATTATGTATGTACAGCAGTGTCATAGGGTGCATCCTCAAGAGGATATCACCATTCAAGAGGTTCTGGGAATATAAACTTGAGCTACTCTGGAAATTAGATGAGAGGTATAATTCTCCATTATGATGACTCAAGTCAGGATTACGCTCATGAGTCCTAGAGATTTTAGAAACATATTATTACTATTATATGGATCTATTTTTCATTCTATTTCAGTCTCAGGAATGTCATGGTCAATTATGTAGCACCAAACAGTTCTGCAAGCAAACAATTCTAAAGACTACTCCTACCCATTTTATTAACCACATATACTCTTTATTATCTGATAGGCACATGGTGCCACTTGGTTCTTAATGGGATTTCATTCTTCCTATTGAAATCAGTGAACCATTCAATGGCAACATCTCACATATTCAATTACAGTCTGTAGAAAATAGTTACTGTTAAGATTTCCCCTGGTTGAGTCCATATTTCAGCAACTGAGCAAACAGCAAGAGCTACTCTAAACTTGATCACATACATTGGACCTGGAATCTCTGGCTAAGTACATACTTCCATACACGTTGCCTATCTCAATATTGTGTTTCTTCCTCTTCTGTCTAACAAATTTAGAATCAATTCTTACACACATTTCCCAGGTTCCTGATACTATGAATTAGGGGTCTTCTGAGACTTAACACTAGTTTTGGATTAGGAGGCAATGGAGCCATAGAGAGAGTGAAGTGGACAGAATTTCTAGTAATGGTGGCCAGAAAAGGTCATCAACTCTCTTTTGCAAAACAAGTATAAACCTGAATGAAATTATTATAAATAACCATTTCAGGACACTGGAAATTGATGAAAGGCAAATAAGAAATTAAGAAACATTTATGCTCAAAAAATAACTAGAGCCTCAGATAAGAATAGCAGAGTCTGTTTTTTTTTTTGTTGTTGTTTTTGTTTTTGATTTTGTTTTTGTTTTTTTGGTCTGGGGATGCTCCCAACTTCTTCCTCATGCCCCGAGGTCAGTGGGTAGAAACTTTAGTTTTATCTGCTTGAAGTTGGTTGTAAAAAAAGCAGCAGCTTTGGTGTCAGAAAAGTCAATCTATATTTGAAGTGGAGGTTGGGTGAGAAATTCCAATTTGCAGTGGAGGTTGGATGAGAAACTCCAGCTTTAAACAAAAGAGACCTGAGAAAGCCTCATTAAAAGTGAAAGCCAAGTGAGACCTGAGAACTGGCTGGAACTTTGACTACATTCACAGCTTGGACACAAGTTGATCAACAGGGGGTGCAACCTCATGGGCTTTAGGTGTTTGTTTACAATCTGCCCAATAGCTAACCATTAAGCAATATAGTCATAGGGAAAATCCTAGAATTCTAGGCTAAAAAAAAATTAAAAACCAAGAATACACTAGCATCCATATTCAGCAGATTCTGCATTTAAGTTGGAGAAAGTAACTAAAAAAGGCAAACAACAAGAATGACATTTGAAAACATGAAACGAGATCCAGAGTTGCTACAAAATGTTCTGTTATTAACCACATATTATAAATCATGTAAAGACATAGAAAAGTGAGAGTCAAACTCAGGGGACAAAAGCAGTCAATAGAAATTGTTCTGAATGACCCCATATATTGATTTAGCAGGCAGAGACATGGAAAAAAGATTTTATAAAATGTCTAGAGAATTAAATGAAACTATATTCAACAAATTAAAAGAAAAATATCATGACAATGATCCAGAAAATTTGGACTTTTAAAAAAGAAATAGAAGCTACAAAAGGAAACAAATACAAATTCTACACTTAAAAAAATAAATTAACTGAAATGAAAATTTTATTTGATGATATCAACAGCAAATTTGAGATGGCAGAAGAAAGAATGATGAACTTGAAGATTAATCAATATAAATTATTTAGTCCAAAAACACAGAGAAACACAAGAATGAAGAAAAATGAAGTGTCAGAGATTTGTAAGCCAAACTAAAACATACAAACATAGACATAGAAGGATTCCCAGAAAATGAATAAAGGGGTAGAAAAATATTTGAAAATAATGTCTGAAAACTTCCTAATTTGATGAAAAAACATAGATTCAAAAAGCTCCAAAAATCGTGATGCAAAGAAAATCACATATAGACACATCACAGTCAAACCACTGAAAGCTAAATACAAAAATAAAATCTTGAAAACAACCTGAGAAACTGACTCATCATGTACAGAGTAAAAGCAATACAATTAACAGCTGATGTTTGAACACACAAAAAATTAACAGCAGAAGATAAGTAAATGGCATTCAGGTTGTTGAAGGAAAAAATAAAACATTTTAACAAATAATTCTACATTTAGCAACAATATCCTTCAAAAATGAAGGCAAAATAGAGATGTTCCCAGATAAACAAAGATTGAGAGCATTTGTTGTTAGCCGACCTACCTTACAAGAAATACTAAAGGCTGAAAGGAAGTGAAAACTGGCAGTAATTCATATCTACAAGAAAGAATGAAAAACAACAACAACAAACAGAAATTCTAACTATATTAGTAAGTTTTCTTCAGAGAAGTGGAGGCAATAGAATATATATGTGTGTGTATTTGTGTGTTTGTGTACTTTATGTATTTACAAGTATAAAGTAAGAGGACATATATTGCAATAATTGGCACACACATTATGGAGGCAGAGAAGTCCCATGATCTGCTGTCTACAAGCTGGAGAATCAGGAAAGCTGGTGGTGTAATGCAGTCCAAGTCCTAAAGCCTGTGATCTGAAGAGCCAAAATGTAAGTCCTGGTCTGAGTCTGAGAACAAGGATCACTTATGCCTAAGGGCAGGAGAAGATGGATGTCCCAGCTCAAGCAGAGGGGAATTTGGACTTCTTACACATTTTTGTTGTTTTCAGGCCTTCAATGGATTGGATGATGCCTACTCACATTGGTGAGGGTGATCTTCTTTATTTAGTCTGCTGATTCCAGTGCTCATCTCTTCCAGAAACACTCTCACAGACACACCCAGAAATAATGTTTTACCAGATATCTGGGCATCCCTTACCTCAGCCAAGTTGACACATAAAATTTACCACCACACTACCTATGTAACATAAGTAGGTAATTATTAAGGAATGTGTGTGTATGTATTGCATTCTGTTATTTTTTCTTCAATTTCTGTTGAAAATCATATGCTTAACAGAAAAGAAAACAGTAAAAGGGGAACAGAGGAATAGAAAATATATCAAACATGGAAAACAAATAACAAAATGGAAGATATTGATTCAATCATATCAGAAATTACATTAAAAGTGAGTGGACTAAATGGTCCAATTAAAAGAGAGAGATTACCAGATTGGATTTATAAAACAACATGATCTGGCTATATTTTGTCTATAAGAGATATACTTTAGAATCAAAGACATAAATACTTTTTTTTTTTTTGAGATGGAGTCTCGCTCTGTCGCCCAGGCTGGAGCGCAGTGGCGCGATCTCGGCTCACTGCAAGCTCCGCCTCCTGGGTTCACGCCACTCTCCTGCCTCAGCCTCCCGAGTAGCTGGGACTACAGGTGCCCGCCACCACGCCCGGCTAATTTTTTGTATTTTTAGTAGAGGCGGGGTTTCACTGTGTTAGCCAGGATGGTCTCAATCTCCTGACCTCATAATCCGCCCGCCTCTGTCTCCCAAAGTGCTGGGATTACAGGCTTGAGCCACCGCGCCCGGCCGACATAAATACTTTTACAGTGAAAGGTTGTAAATAAATAAATCATACAAACAGTAAGCATAAGAGAGCTGAAGTGGCTATTCAGTTTACATGTGAACAAAATGGGTTTAAACACTGTGGATCCACTTATACATGGATTTTTTTCTGTATTCCAATAAAAACATTGTAAATTTTTATTGTAAAATTATTTGCAGATTTGTGGCAACCTGATAAAGCAGACCAACCATGTGGCCTACAAATATCAAAATAATTAAGAAAAAGTTAATTATGTCATCAATGCATAAAACATATGTAAATGCTAGTTTATCATTTACTACCGTAAAATATACATGAACCTATTATGAAAGGTTAAAATGCACCAAAACTTATGCACACAAACCACCATTTGCAGTTGAAAGAAATATAAGCAAATGAAAATAGGCAGTATTAAATCATAACTGTATAAAATTAACCATAGTACCTACCATACTATTGTAATAATTTCACAGCCACCTCCTGTTGCTTTTGTGGTGAGCTCAAGTGTTCCAAGTATCTGCTTAAACTGCCCTGTGACACTGATCATCTCCATGTGAGCAGTTCATTTCTCCAGTAAACTGTGTAACACAGTAAAGAGTAAACTCTCATGGTTCTTATGTATTTTTCATCATATTTAGGGTAACATAGTTAATCATGGGACAAGTGACACTAGTAACGCTAAGTGTGCTCTAAGAAACAAAGAAAAGCCACTGCATTACAAGAAAAAGTTGAACTGTTTGCTGTGTACCATAGATTGAGGTCTGCAACTGTGGTTGGCCACCATTTTGAGATAAATGAATCCAGTGTAAGGAACGTTGTAAGAAAAGGAAATTAGTGAAACCACCACTACAGCTGCACCAGCAGGTGTGAAAATCTTGCACATTTCATAAAATATTTTTTAATCTCATATTGAAAATGCAGCTTTTATGAAATGGCAGGATTTGCTATTATAATCAAGGCATACCTATGAATTCTAATACGATTTGAGAAAAAGCAAAGTCATTATATGACAACTTAAAGTAAAAGGAAGGTGAAGATCTAAAGCTGAAGAATTTAATGCCAGCAAAGGATGGTATGATACTTTTAGAAAGAAGTTTGGGGCCAGGCGCAGTGGCTCACACATATAATCCCAGCACTTTGGGAGGAGGAGGCAGGTGGATCACAAGGCCAGGAGATCGAGACCATCCTGGCCAACATGTTGAAACCCCGTCTCTACTAAAAATACAAAAATTAGCTGGGCGTGGTGGTGAGTGCCTGTAATCCCAGCTACTCGGGAGGCTGAGGCACGAGAATCGCTTGAACCCAGGAGGCGGAGGTGACAGTGAGCCGAGATCATGCCACTGTACTCCGGCCTGGCGACAGAGCGAGACTCTTTCTGAAAAAAAGACATTCTGCTTAAAAAATGTCAAGACAATAGGAAAAGCACCTTCTGCCAACAAAGAGGCAGCAATTTCCCAGATCCCGTTAAGGAAATTATTGAGTAGAAAGGATATCTTCCTGAAGATGTTTTTAATATAAACAAAAGTACCCTATTCTGAAAAAAGGTCACAAATTATATTTATTAGTAAGAAAGAGAAGTGAACACCAGGTTTTACGGCAGGAAGAAATGGGCATACTCTAATTTTTTGTGCAGATGCAGTCGAGTTTATAATCAAGACTGCCTTTATCTATAAAGCTTGCTAGCTTCTGAGACTTGGGGAAAAAATAAATACCAGCTGCCAGTCATTGGATTGTATAACAAGAATGTCTGGATGAGAACCCTTTTTCTGGATTGGTTCTATTGATGCTTTGTCTCTGAAGTCAGTAAGTACCTTGCCAGTAAAGAACTGCCTTTTGAAATTCTTTGATATTGGACAAGTTCCATTGCCACCCAGAATGCCATGAGTTCAACACAAAAGGCATAGAAGTGGTCAACTTGCACCCAAATACAACATCTCTAATTCAGCCTCTAGCCTCTAGATCAGGGGATCATAAGAACATTTAAGGCTCACTGCATGCAGTGCTCTATGAAAAAGATTTTCAATGCTGTGGGAGAGAACCACAATATAGAGTACATCATGAAAGTCTGGAAGGCTTATACCATCGAAGATACCATCATTGTTATAGAAAAAGCCATGAAAGCACATCAAGACTGAAACAATAAATTTCTGCAGGAGAAAATTGTGTCCAGATGATGTGCATGACTTCACACGATTTATGACAGAGCCAATCAAGAAAATCATGAAAGGGATTATGGATATGGAAAAACTAAAAAGGTAGAGGGTGAAGGGTTTCAAGATATGGATCTCGGAGAAATTCAAGAAATAATAGACATTATATCAGAGGAATTAACAGAATTAATGTCTTCCATTAAGAAGATGACTTAATGGAGATGAGTGTTTCCGAACCAGTGCCAGACAGTGAGGAAGAAGATGTAGAAAAAGATGTAGAGGAATTAGTGCCGGAAAACATATTGACATTAGACAATCTGGCAGAAGGGTTCTGATGATTCAAGATTGCTTTTTTTTTTTTTTTTTTTTGCAACATGGATAACAGGAGCCTTGAAATTAAAGCAAAGGTGGAAGAAGAATTGATACCATATAAAAACATTTTTACAGAAATAAAGTGGAAGATTCAGAGGGAAATTACAATGTATTTATGTTAAGTTACAGTGTGTGCCTGTCTCTCTTGCCTTTCCTTCTACTTCATTCACCTCTTTTGCCTCTGCCACTCCTGAGACAGCAAGACCAATCCCTCCTCTCTTCCTCAGCCTAATCAACATGAAGACAAAGGTGAAGACCTTAATGATAATCCACTTCCACTTAATAAATAATAAATATATTTTCTCTTCCTTATGATTTTCTTAATATTGTCTTTTTTCTAGCTTACTCTGTTGTGAAAATATAGTATATAATACATATAACATCCAAAATATGTGTTAATCAACTGTTTATGTTATTGGTAAAGCTTCCGGTCCACACTAGGCTATTAGCAGTTAAGTTTTGGGTAAGTCAAAAGTTATACTCAAATTTTTGACTGTGCGGGGGTTGATGCCCCTACCCCTTGCATTGTTCAAGGGTCAACTGTATTAACATCAAACAAAAATAGACTTTTCAGACATGGAATATTACAAAACAAAGAAATAAGGCTGGGTGCAGTGGCTCATGCCTATAATCCCAGCACTTTGGGAGGCCGAGGTGGAAGGATCACTTGAGGTCAGGAGTTTGAGACCAGCTTGGCCAACATGGTGAAACCCAATCTCTGCTAAAAATATATAAATTAGCTGGGGGTGGTGGTGGGCACCTGTAGTCCCAGCTATTCAGGAGGCTGAGGCAGGAGAACCCCTTGAACCTAGGAGGTAGAGGTTGCAGTGAGGGGAGATCACGCCACTGCACTCCAGCCTGGGCAACAGAGAGACACACTCCATTTCAAAAAAAAAAAAATCAAAGCCACAATGAGATACCATCTCACACCAGTTAGAATGGCGATCATTAAAAAGTCAGGAAACAACAGGTGCTGGAGAGGATGTGGAGAAATAGGAACACTTTTACACTGCTGGTGGGACTGTAAACTAGCTCAACCATTGTGGAAGACAGTGTGGCAATTCCTCAGGGATCTAGAACTAGGAATACCATTTGACCCAGCCATCCCATTACTGGGTATATACCCAAAGGATTAGAAATCATGCTGCTATAAAGACACATGCACATGTATGTCTATTGTGGTGCTATTCACAATAGCAAAGACTTGGAACCAACCCAAATGTCCATCAATGATAGACTGGATTAAGAAAATGTGACACATATACACCATGGAATACTATGCAGCCATAAAAAAGGATGAGTTCATGTCCTTTGTAGGGACATGGATGAAGCTGGAAACCATCATTCTCAGCAAACTATCGCAAGGACAGAAAACCAAACACCGCATGTTCTCACTTACAGGTGGGAATTGAACATTGAGAACACTTGGACCCAGGGTGGGGAACACCACACACCAGGGCCTGTCATGGAGTGAGGGGAGGGGGGAGGGACAGCATTAGGAGATATAACTAATGTACATGACGAGTGTGCAGTACATGTGTGATGTGCAGCACATCAACATGGCACATGTGTACATATGTAACAAACCTGCACGTTGTGCACATGTACCCTAGAACTTAAAGTATAATAATAATAAAAAAAGAAATAAAAACAAAAGTGTGGTTAAGTACTAGCCAAGGGCAATTACCATTGTGACAATGCTTGATAATTTTAGTAAAGATTTATGTTTTTTTGAAAAAAAAAGACAAAGAAATATATTTTGATGTGATAAAAGAGTCAATATGTTGGAAAAATACACAATTATATGTGTATATACACCTGAGAACAGATCCTCAAATTCCTGAAGCAAAAAAAATATAGATTTGGAAGGAGAAATAGACAAGTCAACAATGAAAGATTTCAGTGATTCTATTTCAGTAATTTGTAGAACAAGAAAAATCTGTAAGGATATAGAAAACTTGAACAAACACTACAAACCATCCAGATTTGATACTTATGAAAGACTCCATTAAGAAAAGAGAGAATACATTCTCTTTTCAAGTATTTTTTGAATATTCTCCAAGCAATACCATATGTCAGGCCACAAAATAAGCCTAAATACATTTTTATCTTTTTGCCTTATTTTAACATAAAACATTAGTCTTCTTTTGCTTAGTACTCACATGATATATTTTTCCATTCTTTGGTATTTTTAAATTTTATTTTATTTTATTTTATTTAAATTTCAGGATACATGTGTAGGATGTACAGGTCTGTTACATAGGTAAACAGGTGCCATGGTGATTTGCTGCACTATCAACCCATCACCTAGGTATTAAGTCTAGTATGCGTTAGCTATTCTTCCTGATGCTCTCCCTCACCTGACACCCTACCTCCCAACAGGCCACAGTGTGTGTTTTTCCCCTCCCTGTGCCCATGTATTCTCATTGTTCAGCTAGTAAGTGAGAACATGCAGTGTTTGGTTTTCTGTTCTTGTGTTAGTTTGCAAGGAGAGTGGCTTTCAGCTCCATCCATATCCCTGCAGAAGACATGATCTCATTCCTTTTTATGGCTGCAGAGTATTCCATGGTGTATATGTACCACATTTTCTTTATCCAGTCTATCACTGATAGACATTTGGGTTAATTTCATGTGTTTGCTATTGTGAATAGTGCTGCAATAAACACATGTGTGCATGACTGATTATATAATAGAATGATTTATATTCTTTGGGGTATATATTCAGTAATGGGATTGCTGGGTCAAACGGTATTTCTGGTTCTAGGTCTTTGAAGAATTGCCACACTGTCTTCCACAATATTTGAACTAATTTACATTCCCACCAGCAGTATAAAAGCATTCTTATTTCTCCACACCCTTGCCAGCATCTGTTGTTTCTTGACTTTTTTGGTGGGGGGTAGATTGGGGGGATGGAGTTTCGTTCTTGTTGCCCAGGCTGGAGTGCAATGGCATGGTCTTGGCTCACTGCAACCTCCACTTCCTGGGTTCAAGCGATTCTCCTGCCTCAGCCTCCCAAGTGGCTGGGATTACAGGCACCCACCACCACGCCTGGCTAATTTTTTTGTAGTTTTAGTAGAGAGAGGGTTTCACCATGTTGGCCAGGCTGGTCTCAAACTCCTGACCTTAGGTGATCCACCCGCCTCAGCCTCCCAAAGTGCTGGGATTACAGGCGTGAGCCACCATGCCCAGGCTGTTTTAATTTTTAATAATCGCCATTCTGACTGATGTGAGATGGCATCTCATTGTGGTTTTGATTTGCATTTCTCTAATGATCAGTGATGTTGAGCTTTTTTTCATATGTTTATAGTCCACATAAATGTCTTCTTTTGAGAAGTGTCTGTTCATGTCCTTTGCCCACTTTTTAATGGGGTTGTTTGGTTTCTTTCTTGTAAATTTGTTTAAGTTCCTTGTAGATTCTGAATATTAGAACTTTGTCAGTGGATAGATTGCGAAAACTTCCCCCCATTCTGTAGGTTGTCTGTTCACTCTGATGATAGTTTCTTTTGTTGTGCAGAAGCTCTTTAGTTTAATCAGATCCCATTTGTCAATTTTTGCTTTTATTGAAATTACTTTTGATGTTTTCATCATGAAATTATTGCCCATGCCTATGTCCTGAATGGTATTGCTTAGCTTTTCTTCTAGGGTTTTTATAATTTTGGGATTTACATTTAAGTCTTTAAGCCATATTGAGTTAATTTTTGTACAAGGTGTAAGGAAGGAGTCCAGTTTCAGTTTTCTGCATATGGCTAGCCAGTTGTCCCAGACCGATTTATTAAACAGGGAATCCTTTCCCCATTGTTTGTTTTTGTCAGGTTTGTTGAAGATCAGATGGTTGTAGATGTGTAGTCTAATTTCTGAGTTCTCTTATCTGTTCCATTGGTCCATGTGTCTGTTTTTGTACCAATACCATGCTGTTTTGGTTACTGTAGCCTTGTAGTATGATTTGAAGTCAGGTAGTGTGATGCCTCCAGGTTTGTTCTTGCTTAGGATTGTCTTGGCTATACGGGCTCTTTTTTTGTTTCATATGGATTTTAAAGTATTTTTTTTTAATTTTGTGAAGAATTGCAATGGTAATTTAATGGGAATAGGACTGAATCTATAAATCACCTTGGGAAGTGTGGCCATTTTTACAATATTGATTCTTCCTATCCATGAGCATGGAATGTTTTGCCATTTGTTTGTGTCCTCTCTGATTTCGTTGAACAGTGGTTTGTAGTTCTCCTTGAAGAGGTCCTCCACTTCACCCTGGCCAGAACTTCCAATAATATGTTAAATAGGAGTGATGGGAGAGGGCATCCTCATCTTGTGCTGGCTTTCAAGGGGAATGCTTCCAGCTTGTGCCCCTTCAGTATGATATTGGCTGTGGGTTTTTCATAAATGTGTCTGATTATTTTGAGGTATGTTCCATCAATACCTAGTTTATTGAGAGTTTTTAACATGAAGGGATGTTGAATTTTATTGAAGCCCTTTTCTGCAGCTATTGAGATAATTGTGTGGTTTTTGTCCTTAGTCCTGTTTCATATAAACAAATTACATTTATTGATTTGCATATGCTGAACAAGCCTGGCATCCTAGAGATGAGGGCAACGTTATCATGCTGAATAAGCTTTTTGATGTGCTGCTGATTCAGTTTTCCAGTATTTTATTAAGGATTTTTGCCTCAATGTTCATCAGGGATATTGGCCTGAAGTTTTATTTTTTTGTAGTATTTCTGCCAGGTTTTGGTATCAGGATGACCCTGGCCTCATAAAATGAGTTCAAGGGGAGTCCCTCCTTTTCAATTCAAAGTAATGGGATGGCTGGGTCAAATGGTATTTCTATTTCTGGATCCCTGAGGAATCACCACACTGACTTCCACAATGGTTGAACTAGTTTACAGTCCCACCAACAGTGTAAAAATGTTCCTATTTCTCCACATGCTCTACAGCACCTGTTGTTTCCTGACTTTTTAATGACCGCCATTCTAACTGGTGTGAGATGGTATCTCATTGTGGTTTTGATTTGCATTTCTCTGATGGCCAATGATGATGAGCATTTTTTCATGTGTTTTATGGCTGCATAAATGTCTTCTTCTGAGAAGTGTCTGTTCATGTCTTTTGCCCACTTTTTGATGGGGTTGTTTGTTTTTTTCCTGTAAATTTGTTTGAGTTCATTATAGATTCTGGATATTAGCCCTTTGTCAGATGAGTAGGTTGCAAAATTTTCTCACATTTTGTAGGCTGCCTGTTCACTCTGACGGTAGTTTCTTTTGCTGTGCAGAAGCTCTTTAGTTTAATTAGATCCCATTTGTCAATTTTGGCTTTTGTTGCCATTGCTTTTGGTGTTTTAGACATGAAGTCTTTGCCAATGCCTATGTCCTCAATGGTATTGCCTAGGTTTTCTTCTGGGGTTTTTATGGTTTTAGGTCTAACATTTAAGTCTTTAATCCATCTTGAATTAATTTTTGTATAAGGTGTAAGGAAAGGGTCCAGTTTCAGCTTTCTACATATGGCTAGCCAGTTTTCCCAGCACCATTTATTAAACAGGGAATCCTTTCCCCATTGCTTGTTTTTGTCAAGTTTGTCAAAGATCAGATAGTTGTAGATATGCAGTATTATTTCTGAGGGCTCTGTTCTGTTCCATTGATCTATATCTCTGTTTTGGTACCAGTACCATGCTGTTTTGGTTACTGTAGCCTTGTAGTATAGTTTGAAGTCAGATAGTGTGATGCCTCCAGCGTTGTTCTTTTGGCTTAGGATTGACTTGGCGATGCGGGCTCTTTTTTGGTTCCATATGAACTTTAAAGTAGTTTTTTCCAATTCTGTGAAGAAAGTCATTGGTAGCTTGATGGGGATGGCATTGAATCTATAAATTACCTTGGGCAGTATGGCCATTTTCATGATATTGATTCTTCCAACCTATGAGCATGGAATGTTCTTCCATTTGTATCCTCTTTTATCTCATTGAGCAGTGGTTTGTAGTTCTTCTTGAAGAGGTCCTTCACATCCCTTGTAAGTTGGACTCCTAGGTAATTTATTCTCTTTGAAGCAATTGTGAATGGGAGTTCACTCATGATTTGGCTCTCTGTTTGTCTGTTATTGTTGTATAAGAATGCTTGTGATTTTTGTACATTGATTTTGTATCCTGAGACTTTGCTGAAGTTGCTTATCAGCTTAAGGAGATTTTGGGCTGAGACAATGGGGTTTTCTAGATATACAATCATGTAATCTGCAAACAGGGACAATTTGACTTCCTCTTTTCCTAATCGAATACCCTTTATTTCCTTCTTCTGCCTAATTGCCCTGGCCAGAACTTCCAACACTATGTTGAATAGGAGTGGTGCAAGAGGGAATCTCTGTCTTGTGCCCGTTTTCAAAGGGAATGCTTCCAGTTTTTGTCCATTCAGTATGATATTGGCTGTGTGTTTGTCATAGATAGCTCTTATTATTTTGAGATACATCCCATCAATACCTAATTTATTGAGAGTTTTTAGCATGAAGGGTTGTTGAATTTTGTCAAAGGCCTTTTCTGCATCTATTGAGATAATCATGTGGTTTTTGTCTTTGGTTCTGTTTATATGCTGGATTACATTTATTGATTTGCATATATTGAACCAGCCTTGCATCCCAGGGATGAAGCCCACTTGATCATGGTGGATAAGCTTTTTGATGTGCTGCTGGATTCGGTTTGCCAGTATTTTATTGAGGATTTTTGCATCAATGTTCATCAAGGATATTGGTCTAAAATTCTCTTTTTTGGTTGTGTCTCTGCCAGGCTTTGGTATCAGGATGATGCTGGCCTCATAAAATGAGTTAGAGAGGATTCCCTCTTTTTCTATTGATTGGAATAGTTTCAGAAGAAATGGTACCAGTTCCCCTTGTACCTCTGGTAGAATTCGGCTGTGAATCCATCTGGTCCTGGACTCTTTTTGGTTGGTAAGCTATTGATAATTGCCACAATTTCAGAGCCTGTTATTGGTCTATTCAGAGATTCAACTTCTTCCTGGTTTAGTCTTGGGAGGGTGTATGTGTTGAGGAATTTATCCATTTCTTCTAGATTTTCTAGTTTATTTGCATAGAGGTGTTTGTAGTATTCTCTGATGGTAGTTTGTATTTCTGTGGGATCGGTGGTGATATCCCCTTTATCATTTTTTTATTGCATCTATTTGATTCTTCTCTCTTTTCTTCTTCATTAGTCTTGCTAGAGGTCTATCGATTTTGTTGATCATTTCAAAAAACCAGCTCCTGGACTCATTAATTTTTGAAGGGTTTTTTGTGTCTCTATTTCCTTCAGTTCTGCTCTGATTTTAGTTATTTCTTGCCTTCTGCTAGCTTTTGAAGTGTTTGCTCTTGCTTTTCTAGTTCTTTTAATTGTGATGTTAGGGTGTCAATTTTGGATCTTTCCTGCTTTCTCTTGTGGGCATTTAGTGCTATAAATTTCCCTCTACACACTGCTTTAAAAGTGTCCCAGAGATTCTGGTACGTTGTGTCTTCGTTCTCATTGGTTTCAAAGAACATCTTTATTTCTGCCTTCATTTCGTTATGTACCCAGTAGTCATTCAGGAGCAGGTTGTTCAGTTTCCATGTAGTTGAGCAGTTTTGAGTGAGATTCTTAATCCTGAGTTGTAGTTTGATTGCACTGTGGTCCGAGAGATAGTTTGTTATAATTTCCTTTCTTTTACATTTGCTGAGGAGAGCTTTACTTCCAACTATGTGGTCAATTTTAGAATAGGTGTGGTGTGGTGCTGAAACAAATGTATATTCTGTTGATTTGGGGTGGAGAGTTCTGTAGGTGTCTATTAGGTCCACTCGGTGCAGAGCTGAGTTCAACTCCTGGGTATCCTTGTTAACTTTCTGTCTCGTTGATCTGTCTAATGTTGACAGTGGGGTGTTAAAGTCTCCCATTATTATTGTGTGGGAGTCTAAGTGTCTTTGTAGGTCACTCAGGACTTGCTTTATGAATCTGGGTGCTCCTGTATTGGGTGCATATATATTTGGGATAGTTAGCTCTTCTTGTTGAATTGATCCCTTTACCATTATGTAATGGCCTTCTTTGTCTCTTTTGATCTTTGTTGGTTTAAAATCTGTTTTATCAGAGACTAGGATTGCAACCCCTGTCTTTTTTTGTTTTCTACTTGCTTAGTAGATCTTCCTGCATCCCTTTATTTTGAGCCTATGTGTGTCTCTGCACGTTAGATGGATTTCCTGAATACAGCACACTGATGGGTCTTGACACTTTATCCAATTTGCCAGTCTGTGTCTTTTAATTGGAGCATTTAGCCCATTTACATTTAAAGTTAATATTGTTATGTGTGAATTTGATCCTGTCATTATGATGTTAGCTGGTTATTTTGTTCGTTAGTTGATGCAGTTTCTTCCTAGCCTCAATGGTCTTTACAATTTGGCATGTTTTTGCAGTGGCTGGTACTGGCTGTTCCTTTCCATGTTTAGTGCTTCCTTCAGGAGCTCTTCTAGGCCAGGCCTGGTGGTGACAAAATCTCTCAGCATTTGCTTGTCTATAAAGGATTTTATTTCTCCTTCACTTGTGAAGCTGAGTTTGGCTGGATATGAAATTCTGGGTTGAAAATTCTTTTCTTTAAGAATGTTGAATATTGGCCCCCACTCTCTTCTGGCTTGTAGAGTTTCTGCTGAGAGATCTGCTATTAGTCTGATGGGCTTCCCTTTGTGGGTAACCCGACCTTTCTCTCTGGCTGCCCTTAACATTTTTTCCTTCATTTCAACTTTGGTGAATCTGACACTTATGTGTCTTGGAGTTGCTCTTCTCGAGGAGTATCTTTGTGGTGTTCTCTGTATTTCCTGAATCTGAATGTTGGCCTGCCTTGCTAAATTGGGGAAGGTCTCCTGGATAATATCCTGCAGAGTGTTTTCCAACTTGGTTCCATTCTCCCTGTCACTTTCAGGTACACCAATCAGATGTAGATTCGGTCTTTTCACATAGTCCCATATTTCTTGGAGGCTCTGTTCATTTCTTTTTATTCTTTTTTCTCTAAACTTCCCTTCTCGCTTCATTTCATTCATTTCATCTTCTATCACTGATATCCTTTCTTCCAGTTGATCGCATCAGCTCCTGAGGTTTCTGCATTCTTCACATAGTTCTCAAGCCTTGGCTTTCAGCTCCATCAGCTCCTTTAAGCACTTCTCTACATTGGTTATTCTAGCTATATATTTGTCTAAATTTTTTTTCAAAGTTTTTAACTTCTTTGCCATTGGTTTGAATTTCCTCCTGTAGCTCGGAGCAGTTTGATTGTCTGAAGCCTTCTTCTCTCAACTCGTCAAAGTCATTCTCCGTCCAGCTTTGTTCCGTTGCTGGTGAGGAACTGCTTTCCTTTGGAGGAGGAGAGGCGCTCTGCTTTTTAGAGTTTCCAGTTTTTCCGCTCTGTTTTTTCCCCATCTTTGTGGTTTTATCTACTTTTGATCTTTGATGATGGTGCCATACAGATGGTTTTTGGTGTGGATGTCCTTTCTGTTTGTTAGTTTTCCTTCTAACAGATAGAACCCTCAGCTGCAGGTCTGTTGGAGTTTGCTAGAGGTCCACTCCAGACCCTGTTTGCCTGGGTATCAGCAGCAGTGGCTGCAGAACAGTGGATTTTCGTGAACTTCATGTTTCTTTTAATTCAGGTTTGCTGGTGACAAATTCTCTCTCTCTCTCTTTTTTTTTTTTTTTTTTTTTGCATATCTAAAACTCTTATTGTTTTTGTCTCCCTTTTGAAAGGATATTTTCCCTGATTATAGAATTCTAGCTTGGTAGTTGTTTTCTTTCAGTATGTTAAAAATGTCATTCCATTAATTTCTGTTTTCCTGCTGTTAATGGGTCAATTATTAGCCTTACAGTTAGTCCTTGAAAATAACGTGTCCTTTTACTCTAACTCCTTTTAAGGCTTTTTCTTTCTATCTTTCTTTTTTCTGTTGTTTTATTTGATATGCCTACATGAATTTTATGTATCATTGAATATGTATTTATCCTGTTGGTAGGCAACTCAGGATGATTCTTGAATTTGTGTCTTAATGATTTCCTCAAGTTTGAAAAATTCATGGCCACTGTTTCTTCGTATATTGCTTCTGATACATTCTATCTCTCCTATTAATCTGGTAGTCTAATTACACATATGCTAGACCTTTTCCTGGGGTTCTATATGCTTCTTACGCTCTTTTATACATATTGCACTACTTTTTTTTCCCTGTGCTTCAATCTAGGTATTTTTTACTGACACATCTTCCAATTCACTGATTTTATCTCCAGTTATTTCTAATGTGGTGTTATAACATCTATTAAGTTCTTAGTTTCTCTTATTATATTTTATACTTCTAGTGTTTTCACTTTATTTTTAAATAATATTTCTCATTCTCTGCTGTGATTTGAAAATTTGTCTTACATTATTTTTTCAGCATAATAATCATTATAGTAGTTTTTATTGCTGCATAACAAATTAGCATGTTTAGTAGCTTAAAATGCCACAAAATTTCCATTGGACAGGTGTTCTAGGCATGGCTTAGCTGGGTTCTCTGCTCAGGATCTCACACACCTGCAATCAGCATCAGCAGAGCTGTATTCCTTCATGGAGTTTGGCATCCACTTCCAAACTCATGTAGTTGTTGGCAGAATTGGCTTTCAGCTGAAACTGTTAGTTCTTAGAAGTTGCATATATTCCTTGCTACACCACCCTGTTACAAGTTATCTTAAAACATGGCCACTTAATTCTTTAAAGTCAGCAAGTTAGTATTCTTGCTCCATTCTGTTATGATAAATTCTTATATAATGTTATATAAGCATGGGAGTGAGACATATCATTGTCTTTGGCATATTCTATTGAACAGAGGCAAGTCACAGTTCTGTCCACACTCAAATGAAGGGAATACATGGGTGTGACTCATTATGGGTCACCTTAGAATGTGTCTGCCACAGTCATATTTATCTTAAATTTGTATTTTGTAACTTTAATATGATTATTTTATGGGTTTGTTTGTATTGAGTTTTTTTTTTTAATTTGTTGAGTCTTAGATCTTTGGTTTTTTATCCTGGTATGTCTGGTGCATTTTTATTACATCTTGGACACTCTCTATCAGAAATCCTCACACTTTCCTGAAAAGGGCCAAGTAATTAATAATTTAGGGTTTGTGGATCATACATAAGTCCCTGTTCCAACTATTAAATTCTGCTATAGTAGCACAAAAGAAGCCATAGATTATACATAAGTGAATGAGTGGGGTTGTGGTTCAAAAAATTTTGGGGTTTTTGTGTGTGCTTACTATATTTGAATTTTACATAGCTTTCACATGTCACAAAGTATTTTTTAAATTTGTTTTCAATTATTTAAAATTGTAAAAACTAGTATACCCCTTGCAGGCTATGCAAAAACATGTAGTGGGCTGATGGGCTGTAGTTTTCCTACTCCAGTACTATATGAAAAAAAATATAAAGACAAATTGGTACTCTAGATTATATTATCTTCCTCTAGAGAATATTTTATTTTGCTTCTCGACAGGTAATTAGACTAGGGGCAAGATCATATTAATCTAACTAGAAATTAAATTAATTTGAAGTTTTAGTCTCTGTGAAGGGTTCATTTATTTCCACTTTACCCTTTCACAGAGAATATAACCCTTAAGCATATGGAAATTTCCAGATACTCTTCTCAGTTTATTAGTTTTTTTGACCAAAGACTACAAACAACAAATTACAATTCCTCAAGGAAACTGCAAAGAAGTGAGATTCGAGCTAACATTTCTGCATATTCTTTCTTTCTAGAATCTTGGCTCCTCAATTATTCACTGACTTAGTAGCTATATCCATATAGTATGGTCACTATAGCATCATTCTAGAGGTGTAGGAGAACTAATTCTATCCTTCAATTTTGTGTATGAATAGTGGCAGGGTGAAAAGAATCCTGGTAAGGAGTCACTTATTCCAGTTCTGTCGCTTGTTTTCAGTTTCTTCATTTTTAAAATAGAGATAATAGTGTGGATGTATATGTCCACTTTATCATGTTATTGTGAGGTAACATAAAACAAGGTGACGGATGCAGAATAGGAGGCAAAATCATCAGCAGCAGCATCACCACTACTACATTATTATGTCATCACTTATAGATGAACACACCAAGGCCCAGATACATGTCAGTCTAAATACTTGACAAGTTAGTCACAACTATGGAACTAAAACCTGGGTAAACCAAATCATTAATCTAATGCTTTATTCACCATTACCAAGATGTCTTTTTAGGTTGCTACCATTAGCAGTACCACCACTGAACACAAATTCAAATTAAATTCAATATTACCAATATAGGCCAGCTTATGAGGCTGGATTTCCTTTGTTTAAGTCCTAGTTTCCCATTTATCAGCTCAGTGTCCTACGGGAAATTATATAACAACTCTGTGTCTGTTTTCTCCTAAAAAAAAAAAAAACAGTACAATTGTGCTATCTTGTAGGTTCATTGTTAGGATTAAATGAGTTAATGTGTGTGCATTGCATAGTTTAGTACCTAGCATATAATAAAGAGCATGTAATAGGAATTTTTTTAGAAGTAGCAGCTCTAGGTTTGCTGAGAAAAAAAAGATGGATGACAAAGAGTCTCTATTTCTAAGGAGCTGACAATTAGCAATCTAAGACCAATGCAAAGAAATAATTGGTTAAAAATCTGTGACAATTGAGTGCCAACTTTTACATATCTTTCAACTATAGACACTTATTCCCATCTATTTGGGCTATGGATAATGAGATGGATTTAATATGCAGAAGGTTCC
Source organism: Homo sapiens (assembly GCF_000001405.40). Taxonomy (NCBI): domain Eukaryota; kingdom Metazoa; phylum Chordata; class Mammalia; order Primates; family Hominidae; genus Homo; species Homo sapiens. Next base: position 72,319 of record NW_025791759.1, on the reverse strand, counting down.
CTGGCAAGGCTGAGGCCTTCGGACAAACTGAGCTGAGGGCTCCAAAATAAATATAGGGTGTGTGGCAAGAAGTGCAGAGATGAGAAAGATCAGTTTAAAAGTGAGAAGACAACTCAGAGAATGGGAATGAAATATTTGTAAATCTTATCTCTGATCAGGATCTAGTATCCAAAATATATTTAAACAACTCATAAAAGAATAAAAAGATAACTGCATTTAAAAATGGGCAAAGAATCTGAACAGATATTTCTCCAAAGCAGATATACAAATGGGCAATAAGAACATAAAAGGATGCTCAACATCATTAGTCATTAGGGAAATAAATCAAAACCACAGTGAGATACCACTTCACACCTACTGGGATGGCTATAATTAAAAAAAAAAAAACACCAGAAAATAAGTGTTAGCAAGTATGTCGAGAAATTAGAACACTCATAACATTGCTGGTGGGAAGGCTAAATCCTCAGCCACTTTAGGAAACAGTCTGGCAGTTCCTTAAAACCTTAAAAAAAAAAAGTATGAAAGCTCAGACAATAGAATTCAGGAACAGTGCTGATGATTCTTTCAAGAGACTTTAAACTGCTTCAAGTGTCAGAGTATCTGAAGGTCAGCCCTCTGTATGAGGGCTCCATGCATAAACCCTGCTTGATAATTGTCGCTTCTATTCTCTCATGTGTGAAGGGTTACTCCATAAGGCCTCCAAAGAAATGGACAGAAAATCTGACATGGATTTCAGCAGGACTATTACCCATGCTAATAAGGGAAATAAGCCTTTTCATCCCAGAGATTGTCCCTAATAGCCAAGCCAACTCTGTTCTCCAAAGTGTTATTTTCAGGATTAGAAAATGTGCTGCCTTAGTAATGAGGTCTCCAGATGCTCTGCTGTTTGGATTGTGTCTTCTGCCATTATCACTTGGGAGTAGTAAGTGTTGTTTTGGAGATGGAGACATCTAACACTGGGGACAGACAATTTTTATCTTATTAAAAAACACCTAAGCCAAAGTTAATGCTTTGTGACCCAAAGATGAAATCCTTCCAGTGGATGGGCTTGTGAGAATCTAGGGGAACTTAGTGTGACTTCACTTCTGGTGTCGGACACAGGAAGACTGAGATAGGCATTATTTCCTTCCTCTCTAAATAGTTCCTTTAGTTATCACATTCTTGGCGTTATTTAAAGATTAGCCAGCAAAGGGGGAGAAACTATAGCTCTGCTCAGTATGACATTAGTGACCCTCTCTTAAGGAAATTCATAGACTCTTCAGTAAAATAGCATAGTTCCATAAAGTGATTGTTAGTTAAATAACCGATGTGTTTTAAATAATCTTAAAAAAGGCATTGACAAAAATCTGGGAAACATTGTATAACTATCAGTAATAAAAAAAAATCCATAGTCTATGATTGCAGGCAGTCAAATTTCCAGAGTGGAGGATATAATTCAGGTATAAGCACAACTCTCTAGAAGACTCAAGAAACAGGCTATGTGGTGAGTTTCAGAAGTGAAACTCTGAAGGAAGCTTAACGTTAACCTCACCTTTAAGGAAGCTTAACGGCTGGGATGGGGAGTGTTTATGATAGTGTATACTGTTATTGCATAGCCAGTGATAGTCTATGGAAGAAGGGGGAACACGGGCTCTAATAAGAAAGAATGTGATTTCTAAGATGTTGGAAACGTAGACGAATAGACTAGAGAAGAGGGCCATAAAGTACTTGGAAGGCTGTAATTGGATCCTATACCAAAGGCTGTCCAAGAATCTAAGCTCCATGAGAAAAAAAGACCAATTGGGTCATCTTTATTTTCCTAGCACTAGCATAGTACTTATACTTTGTGACTTCCCAACACATTGAACTCTTGAAGAAGTTGTTTTGCTCGGTAAAATCAAGCACGATTTTAGTTTAAGCAAATTGAAATGTACAGGAGACTTTTTGTTTTAGACTTCAAAGTTTGCTTTATTAATATATAATTCTGCATATTTGTGTGGTGCATGTGATTTTTTGATATATTAATACAATGTGTAATGATAAAATCGAAGTAATTAGAATATCCATCACCTCAAACATTTATTATTACTTTGTGTTGGGAGCACTTCAAATCTTCTTTTTTAGAAATTTTGAAATATAAAATAAATTCTAGTTACCTCCCATACTATCAAGCACCAGAATGGATTCCTTGTAACTATGTTTGTACCTTTTAACCAACCTCTCTTCATCCACAACCTCACCATTTCCAGCCTCTAGTAACCACCATTCTCCTCTCTACCTCCATGAGATCAACTTTTTAAACTCTCATATATAAGTGAGAACATATGATACTTTTATTTCTGTGCCTGGCTTATTTCGTTTTAAAAAATTATACATAATAGTTGTACATATTTACAGGGTACATGTGATGTTTGGGTACATGCATAGAATGAAAATGCACAGGAGATTTTTAAAAATTCAGGAAACAAGAGGATAAGTAAGTTTTCTTCTCCAGGGAAAAATTGTAAACAGTACACTCATCTAGGATTGGGCCAGGAAAAGGCCTGTTTCTCATTTTTGTAATTTATTTGAAAGCAAGGAAAGGCAATACAAACTCCAAAGTCAAAGACATTACCTGAATTTTGAGGTTTCTGTCTATCTGTACCCTCTCTACTTTTTTATCTCTCGTTTTTCCTCCTCACCTACATTTCCTAGACTTTAGATGAGTAATCCTATCCTTGCCTACATTTTAAATTTCCGCATTCCACTCTGCATCCCTTTAGTGATTATTCTCTTAGATGGAGCTGGGATAGCATTTTTGGGGGAGTGTTAGCAGTTTAAATAATTATCTGGAAGAGAGGGAGGCAAATATTCGAGGCCACAGACCTGAATAAGATCTTCTGGTTAATAAAATACAATTACATTATGAAAATAATGTGAATTAATTTTAATGTATTCAAGTGTAAAGGAAACTGTGATTTTACAATGATGGGCTCCACGCTATCAATTCAATTATAACCGAGGCAAGGGATCTAGATGTCACTGCAGATTGTTTCTAGATATATTAGTTGGATGAGCTACTATGACCGGAGGGAGAAGTAAAATATTGAGCATCTTCAGGAAAGGGATTAGAGGATTAGAGGCAGAACTGAAAATTATATTCAACTTAATCCACACCTGTGTTAGTATAATACATGCAGCAGTGCATGGATTTGGTCAATGCACTTCAAGAAAGATTTTGAAAGAGCATAAAAAATTCCGTTTGAGCAACTGGAAGGGAAATTATAATACTTACAAAGTTAAGGTTAAGATAATCACATACTTGTTTACAAATCCAGAAATATTAGATTGAAGCCCCTCCACCCCTGCCCCTGATCTTCTTAGAAATTTAAACTTGCTAATTTGGGGAAAATGAAAAAGAAATAACTGTAACTTCTAATAACACTAGTATCTACTGAGGGTTTCCTATTTGTCAAATGCTACTTCAAACTCTTCAAACAAGTAAGCCATTTAATTTTCATGGCAACTCTATGAAATACTAACATATTCAACTTACAAATGAGTTAAATATTATGGTTAAGATTCCGAGGAGCTATTGAGGAATTTACGCAGGACAGCTCCATGAACAGGTTTTTGAAAAAAGTGTAATGGCAACATCCAGGAGGAAGACTTAGACTAAGATCAACCAAAAGGAGACAGATTAGTTAGGAGGCCTTGTGGTGATCACAGAGGATGGTAATGGCAGTCAGTAGTTGGGCGTTGGTAGAAAGCATGAAGTGGAGGGGACAGGAAGAGAGAATTTCAGGAGGCAATGTCTTTGTGTGGAAAAGGGAAGGGTGGTGATTAGGACAGTCCTCAGCTTTCTGAATGGAGATGATGGTTAAACATGGTGAGTATTATCAGGAGTAGATGTGGGTATAAGGAGCGAGGTTAATCTGCGCAAGTACAACCTCTCATGCTGGGTCTACTTGAGGTAAGATAAAAGGAAGGTGGATCAGCTTATTTGTATCCCCAACATAACTTGGAATATGCATAAGTGAAGTAAAAAAAAAACAGGACGATTCATCGTTCTCTGATTAAGTGAATATTATCTTTGCTCTCATACTAGAAAAACCTATTCCTTACTTAAAGAGTCACCCTCAGATTCATTTTGCTGTCTTTTCTACCTTTGATTAAAATTCAAGGAGACAATCTAAATATTGCAATGCCATATCAAACCATTTTTTATGATCCTAGGTGATATTTATTACAAGGTTTCTAGAAAAAGTCATCAGTAGAAGTGTTCCCTTTTCTACTCTTTGATGGTCACTGAGTATTGTAGATGCAGGGCTTAGATAAGTGAAGACCAGGACCTAGGGTTCTGGGGAGGAGAAGCATTCTCAGGACTCTCACAGGGCATTTGGCATTGGAAACTGATGACAGTGTGAAAAGGATATCAATCAGTCTCACATCTTCTATTCTTCACTATTCCTCACTGGATCCTTGAGAAGTAATTCAGGAGTGTATTGAGAAGGAACTGTAGAGCTGGGCACATTTGATGAATCACCTGCTTCTTCCTTGACCTAGGCCCACTCCTTCAATGGCCAGGTAGTTGTTTCTTTCTTTCTTTAAACAGCTTTATTGAAGTACAATGGATATATAATACACTACATATATTTAATGTGTACAATTTAATGAGTTTGGCCATATACATACATCTGTGAAACCATCATCATAATTAAGGTAACAAACATATCTATCACCTTTAAACATTTCTTTGTGTCCCTTTGCTTTTTGTTTTGTTTTGTGGTAAGGCACTTAATATGAGATATACCATCTTAAAAAATTTTAAGTGCATATTACAATATTGTTTACTACAAGAATTATGCTGTACAGCAGCTCTCTAGAACTAATTATCTTGCATAATTGAAACTTTACATGAATTGAACAACAACTCCCCACTTCCCCTTTCTTGTTCCCCAGTAATCACCATTCTATTTCCTGCTTCTATGACTTTGACTATTTTAAATACCTCATATAAGTGGAATCATGCAGTATTTGTCCTCCTGTGACTGGCTTATACCATTTAGAATAATGTTCTCCAGGCTCATCCCTGTTGTTGCAAAGGGCAGGATTTCCTTTTTTTTTTTTAAGGCTTAATAACATTACATTCTATGTAAATACCACATTTTCTTTATTCATTCATCTACCAGTGGACACCTGGGTTGTTTCCACAATTTGGCTATTGTGAATGGTGCTGTAATGAACATGGGAATGCAAACATCTCTTCTAGATTTTGATTTTAATTCAGATATATGAAAATATGGTCAGTGTCACTAATCATCAGGGAAATGCAAATCATAACCACAATGTGATATCACCTCATAACAGTTAGGGTGGCTAGTATTTATTTATTTTTAATCTATAATCAAAAGATAACAAGTGTTGGAGAGGATGTTGAGAAATTGGAACCCTTGTGCACTGTGGGTGGGAATGTAAAATGATGTAGCCACTGTGGAAAACAGTATGGATATTCCTCTGACCTCCATATGATCCAGCAAGCACACCTCTGGATCATATACCTCTAGGTATATAATAATAATTTTTAAAAAAAGGAACCAGGGAGTTGTTTCTACAGATCTCTTTCAGTTTGTTACCACCTTCTGATCACTATCTCTGCTCTCAATCCCAGGGTCCCAGGGTAGCCTTCTATGCTTCCAAAGAAGAGGGTGGGGACAGGTGATTATTCTGAGCAAGTAGACAACAGGTCTAGGGCATTGCTCAGAGGATGGACATGCTTTTTACTGAAAGCCTTGGTCCAGCCTACTCTGTTTCATGATTAACTCATCATATGTTTCTTTCCTCTGCCCAGCTCTTTCAAACCTAGACCTACCTTGATGCCAAAGCTAAATTCCACTTTTGTGACTGAGTTCCTCTTTGAAGGTTTCTCCAGCTTCAGGCGGCAGCACAAACTTGTCTTCTTTGTTGTCTTCCTAACTTTGTACCTGCTGACTCTCTCTGGCAATGTGATTATCATGACCATTATTCGCCTGGACCATCATCTTCACACCCCCATGTACTTCTTCCTGTGCATGCTATCCATCTCTGAGACCTGCTACACTGTGGCCATCATTCCCCATATGCTTTCTGGTCTCTTGAATCCTCATCAGCCCATTGCCACCCAAAGCTGTGCCACTCAGCTCTTCTTCTATCTCACCTTTGGCATCAACAACTGCTTCCTGCTCACAGTCATGGGATATGACCGCTATGTGGCCATCTGCAACCCCCTAAGGTATTCAGTCATCATGGGTAAGAGGGCCTGTATCCAACTGGCCTCTGGATCACTGGGGATTGGCCTTGGCATGGCCATTGTCCAAGTAACATCTGTGTTTGGCCTGCCATTCTGTGATGCCTTTGTCATCTCCCACTTCTTCTGTGATGTGAGACACCTGCTGAAGCTGGCCTGCACAGACACCACTGTCAATGAGATAATCAACTTTGTTGTCAGCGTCTGTGTCCTTGTTCTACCTATGGGCCTGGTCTTTATCTCCTATGTCCTCATCATCTCCACCATTCTTAAGATTGCCTCAGCTGAAGGTCAGAAGAAGGCCTTTGCCACCTGCGCCTCCCACCTCACAGTGGTCATCATCCACTATGGCTGTGCCTCCATCATCTACCTGAAGCCTAAGTCCCAGAGTTCCCTGGGACAGGACAGACTCATCTCAGTGACCTACACTCATCACTCCCCTACTGAACCCTGTTGTGTACAGCCTGAAGAACAAGGAGGTCAAAGATGCTCTGCACAGAGCCGTGGGGCAAAAAACTCTGTCTCCTTAATGAAGAGAGGTTGTGAAGGCTTTTCCTTTGCGTTTATAAATATGTACTAATTTTTAATGCTCTTTCAATAATGCCCTTATGTATGGGATCAAGAAGACTAGACTAAATTGAACTGAGTGCTAAAACTGGAGGTTTCTGTTTGAGGTTGTTGTGATCTTCTACGCCCTGCTCCAGAACAGTTAGAAAATAGCTTAGCATACACTTATGAATGTAGGAAAAAAATGCATGCCTGGATTATGCACTCACATACACATGCACACAGTTACACATACCTTGAGAATATTTTCAGTTATACAACTCCATTAAAACATAAAGTCTGGCCAGGTGCAGTGGCTCACGTCTGTAATCCCAGCACTTTGGGAGGCTGAAGTGGGCAGATCATGAGGTCAAGAGTTCGAGATAAGCTTGACCAACGTGGTGAAACTCCATCTCTACTAAAAATGCAAAAATTAGCTGGGCATGGTGGCACATGCCTTTAATTGTAGCTACTCAGGAGGCTGAGGCAGGAGAATCTCGTGAACCTGGGAGGCGGAGGTTGCAGTGAGCCGAGATTGCGCCACTGCACTCCAGCCTGGGTGGCAGAGCTAGACTGGGTCTCAAAAAAAAAAAAAAAAAAAAAAGAAACATAAAGTCCAGCAGGGTTCTAAAAAGCTAATGAGCAAAATGTTTGGAAACCATCCCAGAAAGATTTTCTAGTTGACTGTTAAGGGTGTCAGAATAATTTGTGCCACATTTTAAGCAAATAAGTTAGAAGATACACACACACATATGCATTTCTGTGGATGTTGCAGGCTTTCTTGTAAAAAAAAAAAAAAAAAAAAGCTAGAGGCAGACCTTCCAAGTTGATGGAACTGCTCTAACTGACCTAGGAGTAAAGAGTGCAGATGTGGGAAAGAGCAAAGCAGCATCAGCTACAGAGAACACAGACGTGAACTGTCCATATTCCTGAGATGCCTGGATCAGAAAACTCAGATTGAAAAGACGAACATGCTGAAAAGGCTAACACTTTTCATACATTCAACACAAGAGTAAAAAGGATGGAGGTTGAAAGGATCAGTAAAAGAATAGTTCCTTTTGCCAGGTTGACATAAAACTCTCTGAAATAGTGTTATAAACATAAGCACTTTAACTACAACTTCTGAAAAGAATTATTAATGAACAGAAATCTGATGCATGACTTAAAAATTTTCCAGTGAGCTCCTAAGCCTGCAGGGGTGAATTTTCAGAAGTTTCTTCTTCTATACTTCCAACTTTAAACCTGATTTATAAACAGCATTTTATGCCCGAGCATCACAGAAGGTGAAAATATGTGTTCTGGTGCAAGGAAGGATGTTCTCTCTCTCATCTTTCCACTGCACTCTGGCCTTCTATACTGAGGAATAAGCATACCCTGAGTTTCAAATACAGTCCTACAGTATCCAGAATCCATCCAATCCAATGGGGTGAACCTGTAGAGGCAAGAAATCACTTCTGATAGTGTGGTAAAGTCTGCTGGATGTTGAAAATGGGACAATTCATTGGAAATAAATTATTTAAGTCAAGTTAACCTGTCTTTCTTTGACAAAAATTGTCATGTGAAGTCTGACTGGAGATAAAAGAGATCTTTGTTTTAGTGTCCAGATTTCTAGAAATGATATAGTTTGTTTCTGTGAGGTTGGTCAAGAGACAATTAGATTTTGCTTAGTAGTTCTGCTTAATCTAATTAGAAGCCATCAGGTAAAGTTCTGCTGGCCAATGTCACACTGTCTTCTATCTGAAGTTGTATTTGGTGAATGCTGCAGCACATCACCTGGATTGCATTCCTTCAGGACCCACACAAGCATTCCTCCAGCTGCTGGGAGTGCCTTGGGCTAATGGCTCTCAGTTGAGTTCCTCTTCAAGAATTGTTCTTGTTAAATAGTTGCTTCTTCCAAGATCATGCTCCCTTCCCAGGGATATACTACCTCCAGTGGTTTGACTATTTAGGGTATTGCTTCACCTTAAGATAAGTAGGAAGGGCTCTCCCAGCTCCAGAAGGAGCTTGACTACCTCACATTTCAACTTATTTGTTTTTGCCCAATATTGCTTTCTTCACTTCTTCACAAGTGTACATGCTGAGAGCTAATAAACTTGCTTTGTTCAAATCTCTGTCTCAGTGTCTGTTTTCTGGGGACCTCAACCTGCAACATTTTAGGATCTCATTTCTAAAGTAGCCATTAACATAAGTGGAGAAATCAAACTTTCAGCCCTGATATATTCTACTAAATGCAAATCAGTGGCTCTTATATTTTAATTTAAAATAATTTTTTTCTATTTATTCAACCATATTTACTATGATTCAATTTGGTTGGCAGCAGTGCAGTATTATCTTCTTGGAAACTGGTTAAAAAATTAAAATCTGAACTTTTCTCAGAATCCATAGGAAGTCATTCTTTTCTTTTCAAAAAATTATCTGTGAGCAGTTTCCATTTCATCGCAGCCTGATGCTACTACCTTGCAGAGAGATTGCTGACCATTGTCAATGATATTTGAAAATTGGAAATAACAGGAAAGACTGAAAGTGGACTTATGTCATTTAATTTTCAAGAAGGGGAAGAGTGTCATTGTCATAAGTGAAATATATAAGTGAATTGTTGTGGTGAGCACATTGATAGAGTAAACGGTTTGTGGTGGGAATGTTGTAGCGATTGATGAAGTTCCAGAAAGAGACTTGGACTTGATAAGTAGCTGTCCAGAGCTGGGCAGATCAGCTATGGCAGGAAGACAGCCCGACTCTCTAAGATTATCTAGAGTCCTAGGCTGGCAGGTGCCTCTGCCATCCTCAGCATAAAACTTCCATCTCCAGGTTGTCACCATTTCCCATTTAATGAGAAGAGGGAAAGATCAGAGTCTTTCTTCAAGTACTCAACTCCTCAACATACTGACAAAGTGCACCATTTGTCTGAGTCTCCACTCTGAAGGTGGTCACAGGAGTATGTCTTCCATTGGCCACCAGTGGGGAGCTACTGACTTGCTTTTCAGAAATCAGCCCCTAACTATTGTGAATTCATAAAGATTTTTTGTCTGCCAATTTGGAACAGCAATTCATGGGAGAGCAAATTTTTCTCTATGAACTGGCCTTGAGCAATTTGGTAAGAGACAGGAGGTGATAAAGGGGGTGAGAAGGGTGAATCTAGAGTGAATTATTTCTATTCCAATCATCTTTATAACACATGTACTCCATCTCTGGCATAATAAAAAATGTTTCATGTGTAAAGCCATCTTCATAAATGCCATATTTTAGGGGTCCACAAAATACTCAAGCCCTGACCCTATGTTCCACATTCCCTCTGGACCAAGAGATGTATGACTATCGAGAAGAAAATGGGTAGAAATAAATGGGCAGAAACCCAGACAGGTCTGGCACAAATGTGGAATTTAGATACTGTACACGGAAGAGCACAGTGAAAGAAGAGACCAATGTGTGGAGGATAAAGGAAAATTTTACACTGGAGCTTCTTGGGGAATGCATTCTGAGCCTTAGTGCCTGGATAATTACTGCATATGAACTTAAAGTAATAAATTACAAAATATCTGGGCTCCAAGGGACCTTAGAGATCACCTCCACCAGACTCCCAGTTTTAACAAAGAAACAATAGAATCTCAGAGGCTGGCAAGTAACTTGGCCCAATCACAGCTAGTTAGCAGCTTGAATATCCAGATCTGTGTTCTATCCGTAGTCCCCTCAATCTTGCAGTGAGGGTAAAGGGGAGATAAAAGTGAAATGCGATACTCAAGAACCTAGAAAATTTCTCAGAAAATGTATCTCAAGCTGATCAAGCCCGGACTTTCTATCCATATCAAATCTCTCAGTTTTGAACTCTGAATCACTGGCCTCAATCCCTTGTCTGAAATAGAGGGGTAAATTGCTGTTTAGCCTGATGCCTGAAATGCTGATGTGCTGTGAAGAGCACTGGGGAGAAAGGTGTGGTTAATGTGGTGGAAAGCCTGGTCCCAAGGCTAAAACATAAGATAGACCTTGGGGAGGTGGCAGAGGAAGCATCCTGAAGCAACACCAGGGAGTCTCCTAGGGAAACTTTGCCTGGCCTGTTGCTCCAAGAGAAATCTTTTCTCCATTGGCCAGACTTATTCACTACATGAAGCTAAGTAACAAGGGTGTTCACTGGGATTCTGGCCTTTTCTTGCCTCTTTTAAATGATTTTTTTTTAAGTGGAGGAGAGTGTGAAGAAAGGTAATACCAGATCCCTATCCAAAGTTAAAAAAAGAGGAAAGAAATGTTTCAGTAATTTCCCTGTTCTTTGTGACCCAAAAACATTCCTTGGAAAAAATGGGACTTGTGGGTCCCATGGATATTTAAAAGTTTTCTCCCCAGCCACACTTCCTCATACTATTAATTGTTCTAAGGCACGGGTAAGCTATAGGCATCCTGATCTTTCACTGATTTCCATGAATCCACAGCCAGCACCAGCAATATGTTGCCCATCTTCCCTAGTGCTTTCTCTAAGCCCTGAGTATAAATATTTTTATGGGCAGGATCATGGGGGTAGAGGGTAGTGGTGGCAAAGACTGGATCTCATGTAGGTGCTAAAAGTTCCTAAATTTGTATAAATGTTTACAATTTACAAAGAACTTTCAAATACAGCCTCTTATTTGATTCTCAGAAGAACTCTAAGAGGTAGACAGGATGACTATTATCCTTTTCTTTTTTTCACAAATGAAATACTAAAGCCCATGGAGGTATAAGAAAATTTTTCCAGATCACAAATCTAGAAAGTAGAAGAGTCAGGATTTGAATTGATGTCTTTTTCTGTATGGTTTAGTCTCTTTCTAATGGATGGCTTTATTATAGGCAGAAACTTGGCCAGGCGCAGTGGCTCAAACCTATAATCCCACACTTTGTGAGGCTGAGGTGGGAGAATCGCTTGAGGCCAAGAGTTTGAGATCAGCCTGGGCAAAATAGCAAGACCTCATCTCTACAAAAAATTAAAAAATAAATCATAGGTAAAAACTTAATCCCATTTACTCCATGACAGAAGAATGAGCCTCCAATGACTATGATGAAGACATAAAATGAAAGGGAAAATAAACCAAAACTGTCTAGTTCTTTTGCCCAAGATCTTATTCAGTCCTGGACTGTTTTCAGAGCCGAAGGTTTTGGTTATTATTATTAGCTGGAATTTCTCCAAAATGCTTGGTTCAGGTGCTGTATAAAGATACAAGACATAAGTTCAAGATATAAATTTGGGAGGGGCAAAACAATCACAGAGGAATCCTGGACTCTACTTCATCCTGAGAGTCCTATGTCTTGAGACTGTCCCTGATTCTGCCAAGAACTGAAAGTTCATATTTAGTAAGCTGAAGAAGAAGCATAAAAATGATCCACCTCACTGGCATCCTCCTATGTCTTTTCATTCCTAGATCGCACTTGCAATAGTCAAGAGAGGACATTTCCAATCTAGAACTTCATGGTCCTTGCCTTTAGTAGAAAACAAACAAACAAACTAGCAAGCCTTGAATACTCAGAAGCATTCTGTTACATGGTTTTATATTTATTTTATTGAAATTGAACATCTCTTTTACAAATGCTAATAAATGAATCTATTCATTCTCTCATTTATTCAACCAATGTTAATTGAGCACTTACTATTACATGCCACTTAACCAGTTTCACTCAGTTTAATGAAGCATTTCTATAAATCCTTGAGCACAGACGTTTCTATGTATATTGCAAGCTGTGTTTGACAATTGAGTAGCAATTGCTGATGCTGGAAAAAAACTAATGTTGCAAATATTTCTTGAGTAATTATATCAGTTGTTTTTGGGGTTTGGCTTAGGATGTGGGTTCAGAAGTCTGAAGCCTTTCCTGGTTCTCTTAATCTTCAAGAGAAATGTGACCTGCTGCTGAGTTGAGATAAATAATCCTGTGTCCACAGCAAACAGAATCACCACCAACAATGGGATAAAAAATTGTAGCCAGTACTTCTCACGCGGAGCTGTAGTGGAACACAGATGCAATGAGAAACATAATTCATCTTGGGAACTGAAAAATGAGGTTCAGAGTTTCATCCTCCCTAAGAGAAAGACCAAGCTTTGTCCTTCATTTTTAGCGTGATGTGGCATCCAGAAGCACAGAGAAAACACTCAGATTAACACTAGGTTGAGTTGCTCTGTTGGTGCTCCCTGGAGCCACAGGGAGTCCTAAGCATTTCCTCTTAACTCCAGTAGCCAGTGTGCCGTGCCCAGAGGGGAAGACAATAGGAAAGATAAACCCCTTATTCGAAATGACAAGACCAGAATTCACATATAATTAAGGGGTGGAAAGGGGACAAAGTGAGGACAGGGGTCATCAATGCCTATTACTCAATCAATCATCATTTCTTACATGCCTGTTAGGCAAAATGAAGAAATTGCACTAGTTAAATTGCCTTCCAATTCTATTATTTTGTGGTTCTGTTAGTCTGTTTATAAACTGTACCGATTTTTGTGATTAGTCTCAAATTATAGAGCCTCAGAATATTACATCCAGAAATCATTTAAAGATCACCTAGACAAGTGATTCTCAATATTGGCTACCCATTACCATTATGTGAAAGACCTATGAAAAATACGTATACCCAGGCTGCACCCCAAACCAATTAAATCAGAATCTCAAGAAATGAGACATGAGCATCAATATATTTTTTAAGTTATCAAATGATTCTAATGGAATCTAGACCAAATATTCTGTTTTACAGATGAAGATACTGGAAGCCTAGAGACAAGTACATAGCACTTCAGTCTCAAATTAGTTAACAGAGAACTGCTAGGACTTAATTATGTATTTTGACCTCATGCTTTTTTAAACATTATTATGTACAAAGTGTGTGAAGGAAAAGTCTAACTTTCTCCTTCAAAAGTGAATACTTCACAGGCTCCCTCTCTTATAAAGAGTTTGGAGAGAGCAGTTTTTCTTACAGGCCATAGAGGCAGTCCACCTCCCTACCCTCTCCATATCAAGTCCATTCCCTCCTCCCTCAATACACAGGCACACAGCTTACTGACTTGCTGGTTTCCTTTCCCAGCCCTCCTAAGCTGGAATGGGCTCCTCAAGCTCTTTATATCCTTTCTTCATTCAACTTTGAAACTTTTTTTCAATTTGATAAATATAAGTGTTCCCCCAGGAGCAACAGATGACTTTGAGATCAAAATAGTAATCACAATCTGTTATGCTTGGGTAGTGCTTAACAGTTTACAAAGTCATTTCACAAATATTACCACATTAATCTTCATAAAAATTTCATAGTGCAAGCAGGTATTACTATCACCATTTAACAAGTCAAGGCTTTGAAACAGAGATTGAGATATATACTATCACCCAGGTCTCCTCATTGCAAGTCTGGTAGGCTTTCCAGTGTATCACAGGTGCCCCCCTTCTACAAGCTGCAACTGCTCAGGCTCAGAAGTTCTCTCTTCCTTCCCCTGCTATGGATGCTTTTCCTTTCCTTTACCAACTCACCTTTTATTACAGTAATGTTGAGGGGCTCAGACTCATAGTCCAGCTGCCACACTTTGCCCGTACAGTAGTAGGTTCCACTGTCTTCAACTGTGGCATTTGTAATGGAGATGTTGTGGTTCTCATACCAGTACTTGAGAGCTTCACCATCCTTATAATAGATCACCTTGTACACATCCCAGTTCCTCCAACCATGGCACCTGAGGAAGAGGGGCTGGCCCTCCATCACCACCTCAGCAGAGGCCTGAAGGAGCAGCCAGTCTGAAGAACATTCATTACATTATTTATTTAACAATAAATGAAGAGAGAGAGAATGAATAGAGAAAAGAGAGCCACGCATAGAGCATGTGTCAGAAACTATGAATTATCATTAACTCACTTTTTGGCTCATAAAGTGGATTTTTAAAGGGCACAAAATAATGCTTAGAGCCTGTCTTGTGTATTGATAAATCCTTTCCCCTCCTGAAAAGTCAGTCTGGGGCCACAAAGCCTCTCGGACCTCCCTGATGAGTCCATACATGGAACACTTGAAAGCCAGAATTCCTTTCAGATCTTCTGTTGCTAGTTCTAGTTAGTTAGGGGAAAATAAACAGTCTTTCTTGGGAATTTTAGCTTAGGAGAGTGTCTATTTTGTCCTCTCTTACCTTATAGAAACTTCCCAGTTCTAGTGTTAATTATAGTTGTCAAAAAAAAACTTCTTCAAAACATGTATAATTTAAATTAATTACTTATGTAATTCTTTATTTAATGTCCTCTTCCCATACTGCTCTGTGCTCCAAGAAGTCAGGGACCCTGTCTAGTTCTACATTCTATTCTGAATGCCCAACACAGTATTTAGGAGTTGGTAGCAATACTTAGGAGTTGGTAGGTACTCAACAAATATTTGTCACTAATGAGTCAGTGAAAGACAAGAATCACATTCTATGGTTAATGCTTTTGTAAAAATTAAAAAGCATTCATTAAAGGAGAATTTTGAAAGGAAATATCGCTAGCATAATAAGCATAATTAATTTAGGACCAATCCTTTAGGACTTCTCTAGAACCTACTCCAGGGAATAAAGAAGCTATTCTACATTGCTTTAGTTTGTGTTTGGAATTTACATATGGAGGTTGAAACATTTTTTTTCACTCAAGAGAAAAATATAGAGTATAAAAGAGACCTATTGGTCACTATTCAAAATCATTAATTTGTTTATTCAACATTTGCTAATTAAGCCACATGTGCCTAAGCATGCTATGCTATTTGTTGGCAGTAGGAGTGATAAAAATGAAACAAGCATGAAATATGTGTTCTTAAGTAACAACAGAGGACATAAGGAAATGTACCCAGATATGTTTCATAACGAAGAGTACAACCTAATATTCAGGTCCTGCCATATGGATTATGCAGAGCAAAACTTTAAGTCAAACCTTTTGATCCTATTCCAGATACACAGCTCTTTGAAATGTTCACATATATGTCATGCTGTTTGACCACATAATATATACCTGAATCTAGGCAGAAAAGATAGAGGAAAATAGGGTGGAGGAATAATATTGAGAGATGACTAGAATATTGAAAGAAGGCATACAAGTAATCAAAAGGGAAGGGGGTAGAAGAAAAGAGATGCAGGGGTCTTTTTTATTTATTTATTTATTTTTTGAGACGGAGTCTTGCTCTGTAGCCCAGGCTGGAGGGCAGTGGCGTGATCTCAGCTCACTGCAACCTCCACCTCCTGGGTTCACACCATTCTCCTGCCTCAGCCTCCCGAGTACCTGGGACTACAGGTGCCCACCACTACGCCCGGCTAATTTTATATATATATATTTTTTAGCAGAGATGGGGTTTCACCATGTTAGCCGGATGGTCTCGATCTCCTGACCTCGTGATCCACCTGCCTCAGCCTCCCAAAGTGCTGGGATTACAGGCGTGAGCCACTGTGCCCAGCCAATGCAGGGGTCTTAAAAATGAGAGGCCTTGAATCCCACTCTGGTGTCCTAACCCTTGGAATAACCTGTTTTTTCCCATCTTCAGATGAGCCATCCCTCACATGAGAGATCTGTATTTCCATATCCCTGGAACTTACCACTGAAGACTTCCAGGTACACAGGTTCACTCTCATTAACTTGTTGGTGCTGACATTTGTATTCTCCACTGTCTTCAAATTTGGCATTCACAATATTCAAACTTGAATTTGTCTCTTCTGAAAGGCTGCCATTGTGGAACCATTTGGTGGAACTGACTTCAAAGAAATTGTTCCCATTACATGTAAGAGTCACATTCTCTCCTTTAAATATTCTATTCCATGGAGGGTTCAAGGAGACCTTAGGTTTCTGAGGGACTTCAAGAAGATAAAAATATGAAAAGACATGTAGAGAGAAAAAAAGTCATTGAAAACTGTCTAGGCTTAAAAGTACAAACGAAGCAATATTCTGACAATCAGTGGTCAACCTGTCCTTATTCTGTTGGTGATAAGACCCTGTTTTGATTTCTAGGGGAAGGAGAAATTAGTATTGGTGCCCCAGGGAACGCCCAACACAGGGAGAAAGACAGGACACATATGCAGGAGATTTAAAAACAAAGAAACCAATTCACTATGTGATTTGAGCTGACTCACTCTACTTCTGTTAATTTCAATTCAGTATCTGTAAATGAGGACTGCAATCTCTTTTGAGGTAGAAACACTGTCTGCCATGTTCAACCATTGTTACATTAAATATTTATTATGTGAATGAATGAGTGAATTATGGATGGATAAATTTACTGGACTGGATGAAATATAAGGTTTCTCCAAGCTCTGAATATTTATGACTATTTAATTGTAAGTATATACAGAGTGAAAAACATATGTCAGTTCCAGAAAGTAGTGAGAGGCACTAAGAAAGTCAGTCTTGAATGGCTTCCTGGAACAAGGGGATGTAGTGCAAATTTGAACAGAGACCAAAGAAGTAGATACATGGTGATAACAAAAGGGTGATATAGTCAGAAGAGAACTGGACTTAGATCCAAGGAACTTACGTTGAAATCCAGTTCCTTAGCCATGTAACCACCAGAAAATCACTGAGTTTCAGCATCCTCAATTATAAAATGGCAATAATAATAATAATGTAATTATTGAGCGAGATCATGCCAAAGTGTCTAGGAGAGAGAATGAGACATGTATATGTGCAACAGACATGGTTATTGACTAAAACAGAGGAGAGAATGACTTGAGAGAATGCAATGAATCAGGGAAAAAAAGAAAGACAAGGCAAGGTGGAGAGGGAAAGTAGTCTGGCCAAGGAACAGATTCATGCTCATTAGAAAGCAGAAGTGATGGGACGAAGAAAATAGTGAGAGGAAAGCAATGCCCAGACATGTTGAAACACCAAGGGAACAAGAACAGAGGACTCACCTGCTAACACGCCATCTGGAGCTGCAAAAGTCCAGAGAGGATACATTAGTGTCCAGCAGTCTTCTTTATCTCCAGAGGACTAGAATCTGGGTGTGGGGATAAGATCTACATCCATGGAATTTTAAGGACCAACCGTCTTTTCAGGAATCAGAATCAGGGGAAGAAAGAGCTTCTTTCTCTCCTCTACCCTCATTTCCTTGGTAGGAAATTTGCACTCTGGAAGATGCCAGAGCAAATGCAAGGAACCAAGCTTTCAGTCTGGCTTCCTCCTTAGGTGTTGCTCAGCCCACTTGCCTCTGCTTTCTAGCTTGGCTCCACTACAGAGTCCCTGGGAAATGCCCAATAGTTTGCACATGTCCTAGAAAAAGTCACCACCCACAGTAAAGGTTCCTACCCCAGCTGCTCCCCAAATTCATTTGGGCCTCCCTGGGAGGGGTAATTGAATCTCTACTTACCGAAGAACAGTAAGGCTACACACAGTAGAGTAGGGGATTCCATGGCAGGAGCCATCTTCTTCATGGACTCCTGGTGCTTACTGTGCTGGAGAGATCTAAGGCTTCAAATATAGGCTTAAAACCAAAAAGCAGAAGGAAATGTTTTCTGTATCATATCTGGTTAACCCATCAGCTGTGCCTGGTTTTGCTTCTTTCTTTAGAGATAATATTCAGGATGGTGCCCAACTGGGCAATTTAATATTTACCCACTTACTCCACTCCCTATCCCACCTCCACATATACACCTGGAATCTGGTGAGAGAGAGGCATAGGTCTAGCACAATCACAAGCCTTTCTTAATCTGTCAATCTGTGTACAACTATTTAGTTTACAACTTAGAAAAGTGGGATGCAAGGGAGAGCAGAATAAAACAGCAGCAACTAATTACTGAATACCAAACATATGCCAGGTGTTATCCTAAATAAATCTGATATTTCATTTATTTTTCACAATAATCCTATAAAGTACATACTATCACTATCTACATTTTATAAACAGGAAAACTGAATCTTAGTGAGGTTAAGTAACTTGTTTTGGGGTGCCAACTATTAAATAACTAATTTGGGGTTCAAACACATAAAATCTAACCCCTAAGTCAAACTCTTAGTCATATGATGTACTGTTTATACATATTCAGGAGCATGGCTAGCAACTGCCAAATTCTTTTGGGATTCACCAGAGCTACCAACGCTTTTCTTGTTTAATTTCCTGCTGATCAGTTAGTGCATAAATCCACAAATTTTCATCTGATTCACTGATGATCCGCTGTCTGACCAGCGAAATTGGAAACATTTTCAGAGACTCCTCTTTCTCTACTGTGCCCTAATCTGGCTCAGAACACAGGAAGGCAGAAGTTAAACCATTACTTATGGGGATCTAGGCCATATAATTTATTTTATTTTACTTCCTAGCTTTTGTTTACTTTTAATATTATAATTTCCCAACATGATCTCCCTTTCTCCTTTAAATACACAGCAGGGGCTTTCTCCAGGATTCCTTTACTAATTCTTCTGTTTTTTTGCTCTAGGTCAAGGCTCAACCTTCTTCCAGGATCTGATATTAATGATAATACTGGAAATGAAAACTCTATTAATGTCTATAGTGGCTTGTCATTTGCAAAGATTGCTTTTAAATGAGTGTCCTATTTTATCTTTACCAAAACTCTGAAGAAGACAGGGACAGTATATTTAAACCCACTTCACATCTGAAGCACTTGAGGAACCATTCTATCATACCTTGCTCTTCCCCACAGACTGCTGAATTAAGTCTATTGAATGAAACCAGTCATTCCACATGAAGATCTAACCAAAACCTTTAGTTTTCTATGGAATTAGAAAATATAGGGCTAAAAAGGTTAATAAATAGGAATTTAAGTTTCAGATAAGAAAGATTAGGTACTGAGCCCAGGACATGCTATGTTTTAATGACAGACCTTAAAGGTAACAGCAAGTTATTTTGAAAAGTACAAGTTGTTTGTGTTTTAAGCTCTGAATTCAAATGTTCCTAATTTTTATGTGATTGAAGGTTACCTGTATAATAGGGACAATAATGGTATCCAGGTCATGGTTATATTATGAGATTTAATAAGATAAAAAAGAAGTAAAATGCATTGCACAGCATCTGACATGTGAAATATGGTCAATAAATACATTTTTTGTCTTCTTTATTATCATTATTTATTAAAGACTTATAGGAGAAATATGAATTTTGACTGGATTAAAGTTATTGTCAACCTACATAGTATGTTTAATTTGATAAACAACATCTTATGCTAGTTTAATATATCTACGCAATCTCAATCCTCTCCACAGTCACAAAGAAGAGAGCATAATCAGGAAAGAACAGAATGCAGAAAGTTGTTGGATAGGATTGGAGAAGAGAAGGAGGAGGAAATAGGGAAGATGTAGTTTTTAAGGTGCTGTCAGAGGGCAATATTTGAAGCCCTAAGCCCTGGAAGAGACGGGGAAAGATTCTACTTTACCAGTTTGTTGAGACTTTGCCAGGGGAAATTTGGGTTCCTTTTTCCTAGGACAGTGAACCTACAATCAAATTGTCCCTCAGAGAGAGTCATTTTACCATGACTCAAATAGTCTATTTAAAGGCTTCCTCTGAAGTCGTTATCTAAATAGCTCCTACTTAGATGGGAGATGGAGCAGGGCTCATCGAGAGGTACTATTCCTAGTTCGAAGAGTATAAGCTTTGGAGTTAGGGAGGCCACTTTCATTTCTAAAGCTTTCTGAAACTTTGGATTTATCATTCTAAAGCTTTTGCTTAAGTGCCCGGTATTGAAATAAAGGAAGTGCTTTGGTAGCAGTAACAGCAAAAATGTAGCAGTCCAATAAAAGCAGCTCATTAAAGCCTAAAAAGCAACCAAACTACCCATCTTCCCAGCCCACCCCCACCCCAAAAAAGCAAACCATTAACAGCATCGGAAAGAAAAAGCCATACCCTAATTTCCATAGCATATAACTACAGGTACCCAAAAGAACAGAACAAGAACACAGAAGGAACACATTAACACTAACATTAAACAAGAGCTCTATTCCTCCCTGGAAGAACGGGCTGATACACAGTTGAATGCCACAGGTTTTTTATCTTATATATAAAAAAAAAAGTCCTTCAAGTTTCATATCCATTATCTGGGTGGAGTGGGCTGCTACTAATTTCTCATACCCAGCCTGTCCACATCAGGAACACACGTTCACTGAAATCAATAGGGCGTGTCTAAATTTCAGTTCTTGCTTCTGATTCTGGGTACAGGAATGCTCAATACACAAAGAGTATCACTATGCCCAAACTTGGACCTGTTATTTGATGTTGGGAGCCTTAATCTATATTTCATTTTGTAGCAGTGGAAAAATGAAACAAATGGCTGTACATGAGCTACAGGGCCTGAGGACTGTGAGGTGCCCCTGCAACTGGATCCAGCGTGAGAGGCTTTGGGCAGGAACTTTTGTGTTTCGGGACGTGCCTGGCAGAGGGAGGATCAAGGCTCAGCCTATACAGTGTGTTAGCCTTTATGTCCTTCTCCAAAACTGGGAAGCAGAAAAACCAAATCAATCTGCTGGCTTCCTTCTCACTCTCAAAGTTCTCTAAAACAAGGTGAGGTCCATATAAAATTGAATATGAAACGATGAAAGTGCAAAATGCCTGTCTGCTCGTGATATTTATGTACCTAACAAATGTTGATCTCTCCCTGAGGATCAAATACAAGGCTAACTATGCAACATGTCCTATCTATTTTCCTCCTACTACCAACTCTATGTAGTTAAGAATAAGGAAATCAAAGCATGAGAGGTTAAGTAACTTGTCCCAGGGCACACAGTTGCTATGTAAAGGAATTAGAATTTGAACCTGGCAATATGTCTTAAGAGCACATGCTCATGACCAGATAGATAGATGATTGATTGACAGATAGATAGATAAAGATGTCTTTATTCATTGAGTCTACACTTTGTGATTAAGTGCACATGGATTCATAGTCCTCATGCAGAAATTCCTTGGATTCAAGGGTTCCATAACCCACAAATAGGAAATCACTGATCTAAACCAACTTTCTGTTCTATAAGTTCCCTTTCTTAATTCAGGCCATGACATCTCAACTCACAGCCACACAATGTTGGTACTGTTGGTATGTTAGCTATGTATATTTCATGGACATGCCTAAAAAGAAGAAAGGAGAGAGGGATTCTTTCCTTTTTCCTCTATATTAGGGCCAGGAGGATATCAGCTGCATTTACTTTCTTTTGCTACCCTGAACAGGAGTTTCTGCTCAAGAAAGAGCATCAATAGCAGATGCTGACTGCCTGTTAGATTTTCACAAGAAAGTCAGTGACTTTAATATTTTTTACTTCTTGTCTTGACCTGAATGGGTCTAAAAGTAATAAATCCAAAGGAAATAAATGGAAACTCCCAGGACTACTAAAGAAGAGAGTGAAAAGGGAGGTTCTAGTTTCCTTTAAACAACCAGCTCTCATGTGAACTCATTACCATGGGGAAGGCACCAAGCCATTTATAAGAGATCTGCCTCCATGACCCAAACACTTCCAACTAGGCCCCACCTCCAACATTGGGGACCACATTTCAACATGAGATTTGGAGGGGAGAAAACATCCAAGGCGTATCACTGAGCATAATCTACACTCTTTTATAGTGCATAGGTGTGGGCATCTAGATATCAAGCTGCCTGTCTTCAAGATATGTAATCAGCCACTCACACTTTGCCGATGAAGCATCTTTGTGGTGTCTTGTAGTTAAGGGTACAATCTGAACCATAAGGTGGACTCAAACAAATTGATCATGACCTCTACCTTATAAATAGTATATTTCAGCCAAGAAGCCCAAAGGGCTTCAAACTTACCTTCATGTCTTCCAACAGATACAGATGTTAAGTGAGCTGACATTTTCTTCATAATGGGGAGAACAATATTATAAGCCCACTGAGGAAGATCCTTAAGGAAAGTTGTAGTATAAAAAAGTTTTCCTTCTTTAAAAAAAATTTTTTTTGAGACTGGGTTTTACTATGCTGCCCAAGCTAGTCTCGGACTGCCAGGCTCAAGTGATCCCTCCCACCTCATCCTCCCAAGAAGCTGGGATTATGGGGATGTGCCACCATACCCAGCTAAAAAAAATACCAGAATATCACACTAAATTTTTAAAAATTAAAAGAATAAAAATAAAAGTTTAGCCATAGATAATTTAAAGAAATTAAGTGCAAGATTAATTAAGAGTTCAGGCTAGGAACAAGCTCTAAAGTTTGAGTCTCGGCTGTGACCACTCAAACTCTTTTTGCCTCAGCCTTCTCACCAGTAAAATGGAGATAGTAATAGTACCTACCTTAAGGGTGGTTATCAGCATAAAATGAGTTAATGTGGTGAGGTGGTTAGAACAGAACATATACTAGTTTTCATGAATACTATAATTATTTTGCAAGAAGCCTTTGGTTAGACTTGAGAGCAGCAGAGAGAGAGCCTCCTTTCCCATCCTCCTGGTCTGTCCTGAGGATGAAGAACCTGGAAGGCCACTGGTGGGTCCAGAAGGCAAAACCTTGTTCTCACAGGATGCAGCCAGGATCACACAGCAGTAATCATGTCAATGAGACAGACATCATCACACACATAACCACACCCACACCTCCAACACACGCATGTCTGCAGAAGTGGCGTTAGGAAGTTTGAAGATCATTTTCAGGTGTGGTACGAGACAGAGAAATCCCCATTGTGCAGAGTCAGCCCTCAAGCCGAATGTAGTGTAGGCCAGGTTTATTTTATGCTTCCTTACAGAATTACACAGTTTCAAAACGGAAAGAGAAATCTCTTAAAGGAATCCTTTTAGGCCGTTAACAGACAAGGATGAGAGATCTTAGCCCAGACCAGGACATTTGCATTTTAATAGGCAACTTTTGAAGACCTAATTTTTCAGGACTCTGGCTAAACAGTTCTGTGACCCGTGTGTTTCTAGTGCGTGAAAGAGGGTATGAGTGAGGATGGGAACAGTGGGAGGGGCAGGACGCATTCTGAAACTTTCTCATCATACTCTGTGTTACCACCTACAAAAGGCCTTTAGGAAATGTAAGTTTATGCATGAGAATGTATGTATGTGTATTGAGGGTTGCTTGTTTCAATGATGAGTATACAGGAGACATTTGTAGCATTAGCAGGCAAACAAATGCCCTGCAATACTGAAGGCAGCCTTGCATACTAAATAATTGGCCTGATTCTGCACATCTTTTCAATGTGCAGCCAGATATTTTATAATTATCTGAGCCTTAAACACGACTGTGAAAAACACAAAAGCATCTTTTGCATTTCTCATACATACTGTATTTTACAGAAAAGAAACTACCATGTATATTGAGGAAAGATTATCCTTGGCTTTTACTGGAAAAACATCCTTGAATTTTTCACTGTTTCAGAAAATCAGATCACCTGTAGCTACACTGTTCATGATATTTGTGTCACCAATACCTTATTCTCATATCAGTCTGTTTTTGTAGCACTCATATTCATGAAGGACATATTTTCCTATTATAATGTTATTTCCCTTTATTTCTTCTTTATATTAAAACTGGGAATTTTACTGATTAAAAAATATATGTGTGTGTAAGTAGCAGAGGTAGATCCAGTTTGAGGCCCTGAAACTTAAACAGTTTAAGGGGGCTTCCTTAAAAAATCCAGTAGAAATTTTTGAATACAATATTAGATATTAAAATTACTATTTAGGACAAGAAAGTTAATCACAAAAGGTTAAAAATATACCAGCTGACAAATGACATAAACATTATAAAATTCATCAGAAAGTAAACAGATATTCCACTATCCTCTTCCTTTTCAAAATATTGTTATTACATGTTATTTGATCTCCTCTTCCTCAGACAGAGATATTGTAATATCATTTTTATAGACAAACTAGAAATATAATTTATTCTTTTCTCTAGCATCATTGAGCACCACTTATTTTCTATTATTGATTGTTGGGAGTGCATAGAGTATGCAGTTTCACAGCAATATTCTCACTATTTGTAGTGTGGTTACAGGTTTATGCCTTACAAACACAGGAATAAATGCATGCTATCAAATGTGATCTGATAGGATTGAAAACCACTGCTAAATTCTGAAGAAGAAAAAAGGGCCAGAGAAACATGGAATAGGGGCCCTGATCCGCAGTTTCCAGTGATATTCATCACAGCTTTTTCCTTTGTCTCTTCCAAAACGGGAAACACTTGCAGATTATCATAGAGGTTCAAGAAAACAAATGAATATTGAGTGTCTGTGATTAGACTATTAGACCGAATATTAGAAATAGATTCAGTGACATAAAATTTGGGACATTTTGGTGGCCATTCCCGTAGAATAGTGTTTATTATAATTAGGAATTTGTAAGTTTTTTAATTAGAAAATTTGTACGTTTTTCATTGATAATAAATAAATGAATATAAATATGGATCATTCAGATGACCATTTCATAACCAAAAATTGCATCTTTATTTCAACATCTGCATTTCCATTTTTTTGTTTGCAATTTACAACTGCATCTAGTGACCGACAAATTAAGTCATGCTGCACCTATGAATGAGGGTTTTATGTTGTTCAGAGACAGGTGGACAAAAAAAGGAACTGACACAAGGCCCACCCTAGAATAGGCTGCCAAACACAGAACAACCCTCTTTATCATAGGTAATAGCACAGTCACGTTGCAGAAAGATATATGAAGAAAATCTTCTCTGCATGACCCAAGGGGCAAGAGTTAATTAGAAGTCTATAGCAGAGAATGTAAAATAAATAATTTTTTGTATTCTCAATTCCTAAATTGAATTTATACTAATCAACCATATATTTCAATAATCTCATGATGCCAATTTATCTTTAAGAGAAAAAAGATAACTTCAGAATTATCAAGGGCTATCTCATTAAAGTTAGCATTTGATCATAGTTTGCTGGTAGAATTTTGGCTAATTATATTTTCTAATTTTTCAGAATGAGCAAACTATGTCTTGAAGTTTATTAATAGTGTTTTTTATAATATACTTTTCCAAACAGGCAATCTCTGAGCTTGAATTATTATGGACAAATAAAGAAATGGCTTAAATATGGATACAGACCTGTTACTTGATCTTTCTGTCACTAAAACTAACACAAAAATTTAGTTTCAGCATAGGAACATTCTTCATCATATATTTTCATTTCTTTGTTCAACAAGTATTTATATTCCAAGCACTCTGTCATTTGCTGGTGATACAAGAGAGATAATAAGCAGACAAGATCTTTTCCCTTGGGGAGAAGACTTTCTATTGGAGAAAACAGAAAATAAATAAGTAAACAGAACAGTGACAGCTTGTGACTAACGTTTGTAAAAAGTAAATAATGTTGCTCCATAGACGTACAAGGACAATCTGTTTTAAATAGGGTTAAGAAAGGCCATTTGATGAAAAATGACTTTTAAGTAGAGACTTAAAGTACGAGATAGGATGAAACAAGACAAAGGCTGGAACAAGAATTTTCAAGCAGTGGGAAGTTGAAAGTCCCCATAAAAAGAAAGACTTTGGAGAATTGTAGAAATTAAGAGAAGGTTCCAAGTCTTTGCTATTGTGAATAGTGCCGCAATAAACATACGTGTGCATGTGTCTTTATAGCAGCATGATTTATAGTCCTTTGCGTATATACCCAGTAATGGGATGGCTGGGTCAAATGGTATTTCTAGTTCTAGATCCCTGAGGAATGGCCACACTGACTTCCACAAGGGTTGAACTAGTTTACCATCCTACCAACAGTGTAAAAGTGTTCCTATTTCTCCACATCCTCTCCAGCACCTGTTGTTTCCTGACTTTTTAATGGTTGCCATTCTAACTGGTGTGAGATGGTATCTCATTGTGGTTTTGATTTGCATTTCTCTGATGGCCAGTGATGGTGAGCATTTTTTCATGTGTTTTTTGGCTGCATAAATGTCTTCTTTTGAGAAGTGTCTGTTCATGTCCTTCGCCCACTTTTTGATGGGGTTGTTTGTTTTTTTTCTTGTAAATTTGTTTGAGTTCATTGTAGATTCTGGATATTAGCCCTTTGTCAGATGAGTAGGTTGCAAATGTCCAACAGTGATAGACTGGATTAAGAAAATGTGGCACATATACACCATGGAATACTATGCAGCCATAAAAAGTGATGAGTTCATGTCCTTTGTAGGGACATGGATGAAATTGGAAATCATCATTCTCAGTAAACTATCACAAGAACAAAAAACCAAACACCGCATATTCTCACTCATAGATGGGAATTGAACAATGAGAACACATGGACACAGGAAGGGGAACATCACACTCTGGGGACTGTTGTGGGGTGGGGGGAGGGGGGAGGGATAGCTTTAGGAGATATACCTAATGCTAAATGACGAGTTAATGGGTGCGGCACACCAGCATGTCACATGTATACATATGTAACTAACCTGCACATTGGGCATATGTACCCTAAAACTTAAAGTATAATAATAATAAAATTTAAAAAAAAGAAATTAAGAGAAGGACATTAGGGCTGAAGCATAGCGAGTAGAAGGCCAATGGCATAAAACGAGATTGGAGATACACATAGGGGCCAGATCATGAGGGCCTGGAAGAACATGAAAAAGTGTTGGGATTTTATTTGAAAGCTAAGAAAGAGCCACCGGACTGTGTGAAGCAAAAGAATGCACATACACACACACACACACACACACACACACACACAGTGTGTATGTATATATATTCCCCTGCTTAATACAGTTTGATGGCTCTTCATGTATGTCTTAGTCTATTTTCTGTGGTTATAACTGAATACCTGAGACTGAAATTTATAAAGAAAATAAATTTATTTCTTAAAGTTCTGGAGACTGTGAAGTTCAAGGTCAAGGGGTCTATCTGGTGAGGACATTCTTTCTTAATGGGGACTCTCTGCAGATTCCCGAGGTGGCACCGAGATTCACATGGCAAGGGGGGCTTGAGCCTGTAAGCTCTAGTCTCTCTTCCACTTCTTTTAGAGCCACCAGTCTCACTCCCATGATAACCCATTATTCAATTAATCTATTAATTCATAATTAGGTTAATCCATTCATGAGGGCAGAATCTGTATGAACCAATTACCTCTTACAGGTCCTGCTTCTCAATACTGCCATACTGGAAATTAAGTTTCATCACGAAGTTTGGAGGGGATAAACACTCAAACCATAGACATGTATATGTATAGTATATGTGTATACACCCACATTCTCTCAACGTCTACCGATCTATCTATATATAGATAGGTATGTCGTCATGTAATCTGTAGGTTTTTTGAGCAGATATTGGGAAATGCTTAAGAGTCAAAATATGATGATAGATAGTCTAGAGAAGTGGTAGTATAGATAAAGAAAAGTTGATGGGTTTGAGGTATATATATTAATGGGACTTACTGACAGATTGGAGGGCACAGAAAGTATAAAATATGATTCTTAAATTTCTGGCTGTAATAACTGGGTAGACAGTAATTACATGGTGAAGACTGGGGAAGTACTATATTTAAGGGAAGTACTAGAATTGGGGGAGAAATCAACCAAGTGTTCCGGTTGGGAAGTGTTTTAGTTTGAAGCATCTTTATTGTATCTAAGAGTCTGTGCTAAATAGGCAGTTACAAAAAAAATGTTGAGAGACCAGTAGAAATGTCTATATTAGAGATATAAAGTAGAGAAAGTAGAGAATCACTGGCATACTTTAAAGCCACTGAGTAAGATGAGGTCAGCTGAAGAGAGAGAAAAAGAAATTAAGCAACAGAGAAAGTCTCAGAGCAGAACTCTAGGAAATTTCAATATCTTGAAGATGAGTATCAGAAGACCCAGAACAGAGGCTAGAGAAAACAGCTGATAAGGTAAGAAAACTCACAGGGAATTATGTCACTAAAACCAAGAAGAGAGTACAATTCTAGAGGAAATCGTTAATTACATTGAATCTTGTTGAGAGGTGAAGTAAAATAGAGAATACAATTATCCTCTGAATCTAGCAATATGGAAGTTTTTGGGACTTTAGCAATGGCAGTGGAGTAATATGTGTAAAAAGCAAACTGAAGTGGGCTAAAAAAGTGAATAGGAATTGAGGAAGCATAGGCAACATGTGCGGACAATATTCTGAGAAGTTTTGCTGTGGGATGGTGGTATAGGAAGATGTGGGGTTAAGGGAGGATTCTTGTTTTATATAAGATGCTGGATTGTATTTGTTAGCTAACAGGAATAATTCAGTAAGCAGAGAGGGAATAAGGGAAGTATAAGTTAAATAATTGAAGAAGTTAAGCCCTTGCATAATCAAGAAGAGAGAAGTGGCTTTCACTCATTCAATTTAAATCTTTCTTGAACATAACACAGGTGTTTCTGCCATAACATGTAACATACATTTATTTTTTTAAATTGTTTTGCATTCTGCAAAAATAACTAAAACTAACAAGTCTTTGAGAGGAAAAAAAGACTGTTACAGATCATGAAAACCTACCATCAGAGCAGTAACATAAACATTAGTATTTCTACCAAATGAACTATGCAGTTAAAAAGATATGTTAAATTTGTAATAAATAAAATTAACAGTAAATCTAGGACTTGATCACTTTCAAAGGTTGGTGGAAGAAGATGACAAAGAGAAAATACACAAAAGCAGGGGAAAACCAGAGAACAAACATGCTCAAGATACACTTGTGGTAAAACTAAGCCAAGAGAAAACCTTGAAGTGAATAGTTACTGTGCAGAATATTCTATTCCTTGCCATGTTCTACTGTGCTAGTAAGATTTGTGTTAGCTGTTCCTTGGTAGTTCAAAATATTAACTTGCTAGAAAAAAATCTTGTTTCAACCAACTTCAATGTTATATTGACATTATTCCTTGGCTTGCCTATAGCATATAGACTAATTTGCATTACAGAAAAATGCATTATATCAGAGAAACTGCAATGTATTTCTTGATTTGTTAAGCAGTTGCCATGTGCATAGCAATATGTGGAATACTGCGTAGAATACAAAAATGCAGAAGGGAGTTCATCCAAACCACAATGACTTTATTAAAAACTTGATTTCCATAAGCAGGAAGAATAATGGAGAAACTAGGATGTGTTCTAATAAAAATATAAGCACAGGTAACTGTTAATATTTTTTGAACACTGACTGTATTCAGGCATTGTGCTTTATCCTATTTAATACTCACAGGAATCCTATGAAACAGGTACTATCAGCATCCTTGTTTTTAATGAGGTAGGGAGGTTTAGATTATACAACTAGTGAATGGCAAAGCCAGGATTTGAAGCTTAGAGGTCTGAATGGTAGGGATCTTAAACATGAGGAAGAAAGGCATTCAACAAGGTGCTCCAGCACTTTGGCCACAACATTTGGGATAACTTAATTATTCCCTCCAATAAGTTGAGAGTTTGTGGTCATCTTTTGACTTAAAATTTATGAGGCAAGATACTGATGGAGAATCTGACACTGCTAGGGTACTGATGGAGAATCTGACACTGCTAGGGTTTGCAGGAAAAGGCAGGTTAGAAGTAATGGACCTGAGAGAGAGGGTGCTAGAGTTAGCCTCCATTGTGTGGCACCTACTTAAGTACCCCTGAGTTAGGTGGGCATAAAGGAAAGTGACAAGAACTTAAGCCATATTGTCCCTCTCCCTCAAAGGGGACACTCTCTGGGTGAGGGGAACTCTAATAACAAGAGGCTCTGGAGTGGGCGGCCTGCAATGAGAGCAGAGGAAAGTAGAATTGATTGAACCATAAGTTAATAGGTCATTCTTTTTGCTGTGCAGATGCATGGGACATAGGTTCTTCTGGAGAACCTACAAAGGTATTCCCATGAGAGCACCTATATTTGAATCACTGCAAATGAGAAAGAACAATGAATAATGCTAGAGAAATGGTGACAACTAGCAAAAAGGTTACACTACCACAATCTGACCTCCACTTATGAGGTAGTGTTCACACAGGAATAGCAGTTAAAACAAAACAAGGAGCCGACAGCTAATACAGCATGGAGAGTTGCTTTCTTCTTCCTACTCTCAAGGAAGGGGCTGATATCTGGAAGAGGGAGGGATGTGAGTAGTGTGGCCATCACCCTTTACCTCCCAACACATAACAAGCCACTGGAGCCATAAACTTACCCCATGCTCGGTGGTAGACAGGTGGAGGATGCTGGAGACTGAAAAGAATTTTGAACAGAAGATAAAATTAAATTGATTAATTTTATAAAATCAAAATTAATTAGATTTGATTGTGCCTAATAACTCCAATGAGACTGTTTTAGTAGCATAAAGTGATTAAAAGGTTATGGAATTAGTCTAAGAAGTCATTAAGGGAGGCTACTGCCCAAGAAGAATGGGTCCACAGCAGTAGTAGTAATTTCAAAAATAATGATTTCATGTTTACACCTCACAAGTTGAGACTTCTTTCAACACAGTTGTGTGTATGAAATGGAAAGATTGTACTACAAGTGTGCTAAGGTCCTCTGCAGGCCCAACATCTAGATGTTTTCTGGCAATTAGAATTGCAGGAGTTCAGGAAGATAACAGTTCAGTTACTTGAACAATTTGGTCCTAAGGTGGCTTCTAAAGAGCAGTGACTGCTACTGGCTAGTTGATGAGTCCTTCACTCTCCTATCTTGCCTGCCAGGTTGACAGTTCAAGATCTACAGTAACCTTGCCTTCTATGCCTCTGACTCTGAGCTGGCAGAAAAGAAAGAGCAGCAGGAGGTCGTGATAGATTTGAAAGTGGAAGTCAAAGAAAGAAAGGAGTTGGAAGCAGAATAGTGGAAAGATGGCAGGACTGACGATAACCATGGGATATTTGTTAGAAGTGACTTGGGGAAGACATGTTATTTCTAGTTTCCTAATGAGTTTTTATCATAAGTCTTAAAGTATAGGAAAAATGTTAAAAAGGAAAGGATCATAGTCATAACCAATTTAAATTTCTTCATTTTAGGGATTGAGAAGCCCGAACCCCTCAGAATGTTTTGTGAGAATTATATATCTAAGCAATTAATTAGTGGAAAATGCAGTACTAAATTGTGAGGCTCCTGTTGTTGTTTCTGCTGCTGCTTTAGTTGAAGATACAGGACCAAGGAAAGGATGAGAGAACAGGTGCCCTCAAGGATTATTATAGTCCATCATGGGGAGAAAGTCAATTAAAAAGTGAACAAATTATTGAACAAAATATACCAGGTAGTAACACAGAGAGAATTAAATTAGAATGATGAGATAGAGTTAGTGGATGGTTAAAATATTTAGGTTAATCACATACTGAAATGATAAGAGTGCAGTAGAGCTCTGTTGATAACCCAGGTTAACTGAATTACCAGAGTAAATGACATTCACCATCGCTTCTGCAGTGCAGACTGACAGATGCACACTACACACTAAATGACCACATCCAGTAAACTCTAACAGAAACACCAGGAGATAGTAGTGTCACAAAACCAAGGCAGAAGAGCATTTCAAGAGGGAGAGTGATTAATAGTGTTAAATGTTTCAGTTATGAAGTAGGGAAAGAACCAAGAATAGTCCGATGAATTTGGTAATTAGAAAAATCTTGGTGTAGCCCCCATGATCCAGGGTCTGTGTCTCTACCATGCAAGCCCTAGATCTCAATGGTAAACTCACTGGAGCTGACCAGTCTCTGAGACATTACTCAAACTTACAAAATAACTTAGTATGTGAATGTATTCATTTTTAACAGTAAGTGTACCAGACCAGTCATTTCTATATGGCTTTCACTTTCTGGTGAATGTAAGCAATTCATATATTAAAATGCATGCCAGAAGATTACTTATTGCTCCCATATTACTCCATTCTTACCTTATCATAGCATGTATCACAATATATGAAAATTGCATCTTTCCTGGTCTAGCTCCTTATCACATCCTCATTGAAGTCAATGACTATAT
Organism: Homo sapiens; assembly: GCF_000001405.40. Lineage (NCBI taxonomy): Eukaryota > Metazoa > Chordata > Mammalia > Primates > Hominidae > Homo > Homo sapiens. Next base: position 39,801 of record NW_025791759.1, on the reverse strand, counting down.
TAGTTTAGTTCACTGCTCTTTATCTGATACTCAGCACAGCAGAGAGCATGCTTAGATTTTTAATATGTATTTATTAGAGAGGCAAATGAGCAATTAATTCATTGATTATTATATCAAGATGTTACAACCTAATAAATCATCCTTTCCTTCCTCAGAGGCAAGTCTTTATCTATCTGCACACATATATAATATATAATTTTATATTTATATATAAATATACATACATATATAAATATGCCTATATACATATATAATACATTATATATTTATATATAATATACAATATATGAAATAATATATATAACAATGTGTATATAGACATATATAAATATGTTTATCTACATGTACATATTTATATATGCATATTTCTAAAAGAGCACTAGAGAATGCTGGTGCTGGACAACTCCTTATCTCCAATTATTCATCCTTTGTGGAAACCACCAATCTTGTCTTTGCATCTGTACTTAGGAAAACCAGCATCCAGGACATATTCTTTAGTTAATTTCTATGGTAATTAGTATCACAGAATATTTTCTTTTATGACCGATGGCCTGCCAGTCCTCTTGAGAATATGTAAAGTATGGGAAAGAGATGGACTTCTAATACTCTTTCTACAATTCTAACCACAGAATATTTGACTGTAAATTTAATTAACTAGAAATACAGTATAATAAAGTCAATGAGTAAAAGGAAGCTGAAATTCTTTGTGCCACCTTAGTCACATGGCTGAAGAAAAGAGAGTCTTCTTTGCCCTGCCTTTTACAGTGTGTTTGTGAACCAAAATTCTTGTCCTCTCAGAAGCCACAAGCAATTTGGTTTTACATGGCACATGCATGGCTATGTAGTTGGAAGCATGGGTTATTCTGACATGCGTTATTCAGAATTTGTGGCCAGCATGGAGGGAAATGAAAAAATGCCCTAGATTTTTCAATTGTGCATCATTCTTTTCTCTTTTGGGCACCATCGTTTACTCCTTATTTCTAGAGAATTAATCTTTTTTACTTAGGAAATCACTTATAAATTTGCTTCAGTTTGCAGGTACTGCCTCCTCCCCCTATAATATGTTCCTGACATCTCATATATCTGCTAATTATAGGACATAGGCTTGCTGGATTATGACTATTTGTAGTCAGAATAGTTTCTTTCACTGGATGTAATAGAATATACACTGGATCAGAATTAGAAGATTGAGGCTTAAATTCCAATTTTACTCATTTTTAGCTTGCACCCCAAGCTAAATGATGAAAGAAACCTTCTATATAAAATAATTCCATTGACTAAATGTAAAAGAAATGGCATGATTAAGAAAGCACCGTTTTGCAACTCCTAATTTTAAATGATTTAGGCCGGGCACGATGGCTTACGCCTGTAATCCCAGCACTTTGGGAGGCCAAGGCGGGCGGATCACAAGGTCAGGAGATCGAGACCATCCTGGCTAACATGGTGAAACCCTGTCCCTACTAAAAATACAAAAAATTAGCCGGGCGTGGTGGCGGGCGCCTGTAGTCCCAGCTACTCGGGAGGCTGAGGCAGGAGAATGGCATGAACCCGGGAGGCGGAGCTTGCAGTGAGCCGAGACTGCGCCACTGCACTCCAGCCTGGGCAACAGAGAGAGACTTTGTCTCAAAAAAAAAATGATTTAGACAAAATTTATCAATAAATTAAATGATAAAGGTTGATGGGATCCATTTGAATGGAGGAGCAAGCTGTTGCCACCTGAAATATTGATCAGTTAGCTTTTGTGCATGCATTTAAATTTTATTTATTTATTTATTTATTTATTTTGGTGGCAGGGTCTCACTCTGTCACTCAGGCTGGAGTGCAGTGGCATGATCTCGGGTCACTGCAACCTCTGCCTCCCGGGTTCAAGCAGTTCTCCTGCCTCAGCCTCCTGAGTAGCTGGAATTACAGGGGCGCGCCACCACGTCCTGCTAATTTTTGTATTTTTGGTAGAGATTGTGTTTCACCATGCTGGTTTGTCCAGGCTGGTCTTGCACTCCTGATCTCAAGTGATCCGGCTGCCTTGGCCTCCCAAAGTGCTGGGATTACAGGCATGAGCCACAGTGCCTGGATTAAATTTTATTTTTTAATAGACAAATAATAATTGTTTGTATTTATGAGGTACAATATAGTATTTTGAAATCAGCTTTGCTTAGAGTAAGACAACAAAACAGTATGTGTCTCCTGATTAGAGTTCCCAGATAAAATACAGAATGCTGCACTGAATTTGAATTTCAAAAAACAATAAATAATTTATTTTGTATATTCCATGCAATATTTGTAACATACTTATCCTAAAAATTATGCTATTTATTTAAAATTAAAATTTAACTGGATGTCCTGTATTTTTGTTAAATCAGACAACTTTACTTGATTATCAAATTTATAATTTATATATATATTAAACTGATATATACACCAAATTTTATGTGTGTTTTTATATATAGTTTAATATAGTCCATAGTTTAATATACTATATTACAGGTTATAGTATATCCAGTTTAATATATCTAATATAATTTAATAAGCTGAACCTGAATCTAATTAAGCCTTTAAAACTAATTTCCAATTTATAAAAAGTACAGAAGATATAACAAATTTAATGATACTATGAGTAAATGCCATCTAGAAAGTAAGATTTTGACCTGGCTTTTTAATGTGTAAATGAGACTTTTTAAAATATGGGGGCAATGGGATGTTGAAATACCCTTGCCCTCCAGGCAATATTTGGTAATGTTTAGAGACATTTTTTATTTTTTCCAATACAGTGGGAAAAGAGAGAAGGATTCTACTGGCATCTGTCCTCTGGGTGGGTAGAGGCCAGTGATCCTGCTAAACATCTTGTAACACAGAAGACCATCTCCCCTCCTAACTCACCTCACACCCACACACGTACACACACAACAAAAATTAGCAGTTTCAAAGTGTCAACAGCACCACTGTTGAGAAACCCTAGTCTAGACTCAAAAAAACTTTTAACGAGTTACAATCAAATGCAATAAGCAGTGCTCATTTGAATCTTGATCCAAACAAACCATATTATTATAAAGAGCATTCCTGTAATAAAAGTCAAGGCAATTATTTAAAAATTATAATGTAGGAAAATGTTTATTGATATGCGAAAGTTTCAAAATGCATTGCTAAGAGAAAAAGTAAACTGGATATAAGGAAGTTTGTATAGCATGATCTCATATTATTAAAAAGAAGAAAGGCTACAAAAGTAATAATCATCCCATTTTTACCATAAACATAAATACATGTGTATATAGACAGGTGCACACATATGAATGCATAAAAGATTAGAAACCTATTCATCAAAATGTTAATGATGTTGATTTCTAAATTGGAAATCACAAGTCATTTACGTTACATTATTTTTCCTTTTCTGTTTTTTCTATAATGAACAAGCATTATGTTTGTAATCAGAGAGAAAACAGGGCCAACTCAGAATTTAAAAATTCTTAGTTTGGGTTGAAGGCCCTTGTGGGCTTGTCCCCTTTTACAGAGTGGCTGAAATGTTACTCAAACATCTCACATGGGTGCAGAGACTGTATGAATGGAGAAGGATGTGCTGAGCCAGAAATTAAACTTATTGGAAGTTCATGGCTGTTTCATTCCCCCTCCAGCAGGATCAGAGAATGAACCAAAGGGAGCACAAGGAAGGGCTCTGACAGTGTCTTCTCCCCTTTCCCAGTGTGGTGTGGGTGATGGATCTCCCTAAATGGAAAAGTAGGGCTGAGATGTATGTCAGTGAGACTCAAGGAAATTTGCTGTAGGCTGAAGTGGGATGACAGATGTCCCGGCCCCTATAACCTTTTGATTACCCTGATATTATTTATATAAATAAGTTTCAGGAAGCTAGCTGCTCTCCAATACTGAGAAACTTAAATTTAAGGTCCTCCCTTTGTATGCTTACCCAGTATTCACGTGGTTTACTTTATTAAAACTCAATGCAGTATTAGTTTCTACACTCCAACAATCCCCAACAGTCAGTAGGCAAATGAAAACATCTCCTTCATCAGCGACCCACATTTCTAATGAAATTCTTGAGACCAGCCTTCAGGTTCTACCTTCCTTACCTCTTAGTAGCATGGAGGAATTCTCAAAAGGATGATCTCAGGAGACTTGGGGCAGAGGGATTCTCTTCTCCTTGGGGAAAATAAATATACACAGCTCTTGAAATCTGCAGTTTAAGAGACTGTATTTTTTTCCCTGGGCCACTTCTCAAGCCAAATGAGCCAATGTCCCAAGCCTCAGGAACATAGCAACAATTTGAGGCTCTCTTTGATATTAGAGAGAACTGGATTTTTCTCATTTTGTGTGTTTTTGCTTCCGTTGTAAATGCCTCTTGAATACAAGGTTTTTTCACCTGCTTTCTCTGAGTAGACTCAGTCCTTTCATGCCTTTTAAAGATCACTATCTGGAAAGTGCTTCCTTCTCCTTCCTATTGCCAAGGTCAGAAGCAGCGAGTGCTTTTGGCAGAAGTAAATGAAAATGAAACACCATGTGCATTTTTCAAAATCTTACTATTTTCCCTGTATGGTTCAGTATTTGATTGGTTATATTGAATCACATGTCCATTAATATTACATTTCTTCATGCTTGTCTTGCTGTGGTAATGGATTGAAGGACATGAAATTTAGCAGAGACGTAATAATGATCTTCAAATATTTGAAGTGTAATCATATTGAAGAGAAAATAGAAAGTGGAATGATGTGGGAGGTGGTAAGTTGCAAGCAAATAAATATTGAGTTGATAGGAATTAATATTTTCTAAGAATTAAAGTCAATCAAAATAGAAATGATGATAGTACAGCTATATTAATCTATATAATGAAATAATGTGCACCATTGGAAATAGAAAGAGTGAGATAGATCACAATACTATTATGGAAAGTAGTCAGGATATAATATATGGGAAACCCTAGTTGTGAATTGGTATGTACTGCCTAATTCCATTTGCGTAAAATTGAAATGATGTGAAAATATGCATGATTGTACATAAAATATTTCTGGACAGAAATAAACAGCAATACTAACAACAAAAACCCATGAATCATCTTTACCTCTGGCCAAGAAAATGTAGAGGAGAAAATGAACTTTTCCATTTATATCCTTCTGTACCCACGGTTTTTCCCCTATGAGCACTTTTATAATTTAAAAAGCCTGGTTTTATTTTTCAAGAAGAGTTTGTATCTTTAAAAAAAAGAGGAAATGCTTATTTACAAGGTAATGAATTTCCAATCATTGGAAGCAGTGAAGCAGAATTTGAGGGACTGTTCATGAGAAATGCTGTGCTTTTAAAATTACCACCTAACGCTAAGGTCCTATGATTCAGTTATATTCAAAGGACTGAAAACTATGAAGCACCTGGGCTTTTCTAGCTTGCTTCCAATTGGAAAGACTTGAACAATGAAATGAATAATTTTAACCTCTGGCCCAGAATTCATTGTCAGGTCTAGGCAGAAAATGATTTCTCTAGAAGAACATTTAAAAAAAAATTTAGGGGTAGAGAGATATTTTTAGCTAACAATCCAAAATACAAGGGAACAGAAAGTGTTGCAAAATGCCGTTTTTCTCAGTGACAAGGATTCCACAGAAGGAAGTTGGCATTTTGTTTCAGCTATCATGATCCTACTAATCTAGCGTTATCACTCATGAGGACCTTTGCTATCTTGGTGAGTCATTGTTTACCTAAGGGGATGATGAGAAAGGAGTTGCAATTGCAGGAATGCACAAACTTAGTGCAATCTTTTCTCTTCTGCCACCTATTTATTTTTTTCATTCTGCTTAGTGTAGGTAGGATTGACTTTCTAGTTACATAGACATTTGAGGTTTATCTTGCTCAGTAATACACCATGAATATCAGTTACATAGGAATGGTTAAGAACTGGCCCGTTCCTACATCTTCAAGGAAAATAAACACATATTTTGCTTCATATTTTTCTCAGCATTTTGAAACTAATATTTTTTGGTTCTTCAAAATCTTTAGTAAGAAAACTCTGAAATTTGCCTTCACTCAAGTACTTGCATCCCACTGTAGTAATTAACAGTCAGCATTAATACTTTCTTCCAATATGGTTTATTATTAATTTTTGCGTTAATATTTAATGTTTAAATATTTCATTAAATATTAGATTCATAATATATTAGTATGTATGTATTAAAAGTATTTATGATAGTATTTATAATAGAGAAGATATTAGATAGATAGATAGATAGATAGATGATAAACGATAGATTCTCCATGCACTATTTGAAAGACATATTTTTAGCATTTTGTTATATTTACTTTTTTAATGGCATATGTGTCATTGAATGTTTTTCCTTTCTTTTCCTTGCCTCTCTTTTCTGGTTCTTTTTATTTTTACAAACTTGCAGTCTGTAATTTATTTCTCAATCAGTCAATCAACCTACTTATATAGTGTATTTTTTCATGTCAGCACTTTGTAGATTCTTAATGGCTGCATAGCTCCCATCAGATGGATATTTTATAATTAATTCAATTATTCCTTTATTCATTTACATTGTTTCTAGACTTCACCAATAAATAATATAAAAATGTCTTTAGATATACATCCTAATATGTATCTCTGATTATTTCCTTAAAATAAATAATTGGAAGCGAAAATATCAAGCCAAGAAGAATGGACGTGGATTGTCACTAATGTAATAATATTTATTTATCTAGAGAAAGCATTCTAAGATTCTCCAGTTTTTCATTTTTTTCCCAATGTAATCTCATTCTCAAGAGCAAGAAGAAATGCATTAATTCTTTTTGATAAAAGCAACAAAAAGTATCTTCTTTCTCATTTATTTTGTGATTATGTTGCTTCTTAGGCACTTGCGGTATAGGGCAAATCACACTAGTCTTAGAATTAAAAGATCGAGTTAATTTGTGCAATCATCTAACCCTGGGTGTCTTACCAAGAGAGGGATAATAATTACCTAAAACACAGGATTGTTATGATGCTACATAATACACGTAAAAACTCTATAAACTAAAAAGTGCCATAGGAACTATTTATTATTGTTATACTTTTTTTGAAAATGAGAGATTTTTGATGCCCAATAACTCCCCAGATAGGGGACAGAGGGAGAAATGTGTAAACTCGGTTCCCTAAAGTTTAAAATTCTGAAGAAATTGTAAAAGACAGTTTACTCTACTAGTGAGGCAGAGTACCTGTGAAAATTCTCCTCTAAGTATAAGCTAGAAAATGCATAGAAATAAACACAGTCCCCGGAACCAAGCTACTGGGAAACACTTACCAACACTACGGGGAATTGGATTGACAGGTTGTATTTAGTCCTGAGAAGACTTTCTGAGGAGGAGGAGACTCAAGTCAAGCATTGAAAAAAGAGAGGAACATCTCTTGTTTTAAAAAATCTGGGGTGACAGTCAGGTTTGAAGCTGTTTGATGACTTATGAAAAGAGTTTGTGAAACAAGCAGACAGGAGCAACAGGGAGAAAGTAAACACTTATGTTATGTTGGAGCAGAGAGCATTGTCTTGTTTGGCAACCCAGAAAGAAAGATCTTTAAAGAGACAATCGAAATTGTGGTTTAAACAAAGTGGAAGAGGTTGAAAAATTTGTTTTAGGTAAACAAAATCTGAAACTGTAATATAAAAGAAAATTCCTTTCAAATTTAACTATGCATTTCCTATTTCTTTAGCCTAGTTTTTCTCTAACACTTATGTGCTAGGTCACCAAGAAATCTTTTTCAAACTTACCCCGGTGTCTTTTCTTCCATTTTTTCATCCCTATTTAGTCCCATATATATATATATACACACACACACACATTGTCATGCATGAAATTGTTTTCTTATCGTGTTTTTCTGTCTATATCTATAGGTGAACAGTCGTCCCCAATAACTTGGCATCCATCCACGAACAGAATCCTTATTATCTTCTTAGATGATTCACCTGCTCAAAGCATTGGGCACTGATGTCTTCTGACTAATTGACCTAAGTCTCTGTACTTTCAATCTGTTTATTTATCCAACGAAGAGAGAGAACCACACAGTGATAAGGGAGTTTGTTTTCCAGGGTTTCTCCAGCTTTCATGAACACAAGCTTACCCTCTTTGTGGTATTTCTTACCTTGTGTCTTTTAACCCTGGCTGGCAATGTCATAATTGTGACAATTATCAGCATTGATCGTCACCTTCACACCCCCATGTACTTCTTTGTTAGTATGCTTTCCACTTCAGAGACTGTCTACACATTAGTCATTGTACCACGGATGCTCTCCAGTCTCTTAAGTCTAAGCCAACCTATCTCTTTGGGTGGCTGTGCCACCCAGATGTTTTTTTTATTACCTTGGCCATCAACAACTGCTTTCTGCTCACAGCAATGGGGTATGATCGCTATGTGGCCATCTGTAACCCTTTGAGGTACATGATCATCATGAACAAGAAAGTGTGTGTCCAGCTGGTATGTGGGTCCTGCAGTGTTGGGCTGCTTGTGGCCATAGTTCAGATTTCATCTGTGTTCAGGCTGCCTTTTTGTGATAAACAGGTGGCCCATTATTTCTGTGATATCCACCCAGTTATGAAACTTTCCTGTGTTGATACCACTCTACATGACCTAATTAATTTTGTTGTTAGTTCCCTGGTTATTGTGGTGCCGCTGGGTTTGGTCTTCATCTCCTACATCCTCATCATCTCTACCATCCTCAAGGTCACCTCTCCTGAGGGCCGGAAAAAGGCTTTTGCAACTTGTGCCTCCCACCTCACTGTGGTTATCATCCACTATGGCTGTGCCTCCATTGCCTACCTCAAGCCCAAGTCAGAGAACACCAGGGATCAGGACCAGCTAATTTCAGTGACATACACCGTCTTTACTCCACTACTTAATCCTGTTGTGTACACTTTGAGGAACAAGGAGGTCAAGAATGCCCTTCACCGTGCTATTGGCAAAAAACCTTTTGCCTAGAATCTTCATCAGTTTGACATATAGTCAGTCATAGTCTGGGTATTTTTTTAAGCTCGAGAAAATTGAATCCTATCATTCATCCTCTAACCAAAGAGAGTTGCAAAATTTGGTGGTAATGCGACATTAAGGAACCAAGAGTCTCCATGATTTGACTTTGTTTTTACCATCATTCTCCTATACCTTCTACTAACCACACAGGTTACCACCAGGGGAGTGGTCAGTTGCTGCTCACACAGGGGCAAAGCTGTAGGGAATCGTAAGCAAGGAGTAGCTGATTGTTATCATTTGTTGAAAGCAGAAAAGTGGGTGGCATAACACCTATTGGAAGTACTAGGTTGACAGGTCAACCTAAATGTCATATAGATATTGAGCTCTAAAACTTTAAAGAGGACATGGTTGGTGTACAGGGTGTCTTGAAAACAGTCAAAACTACCTTCCCACTTATCATCACTTTCTACTTTAAGCATTGACAAGAGTAGCAAATCTTGACATTCCAGAAAAAATATTATAAGCTTTAAACATTCTCATCTGCCTTGGAGACCCATGAAATTGTTTTCCAATTTTGTTGAGGCTCACATTAGAACTATTTCCTCGGTGAGACTCTGTTACCAGTATGTTCAGTGTTAGTAAGCAACATGGTCACATCCAACCTCTGAATTTCACTGTGCTTATGTATGCTTTCTGTGGGAGTAACACATGCTATACTGAATTCACAAATATAGGGATATCTGATATCTGAGGATTTTTTGTAATTGAGTTTATTTTTATCACCTTCCAACTAATGCTTGCTGACTTAGATCTGGAAATTAGCCCATGATTTTCATTCTTCTCTGTGTAGAACATAATCTGATCCATGCCTTGCCTTTACCCTTTTCATTTCTACACGGAAGTCCATGTCTTGCCTTTACCCTTTTCGTGGAAATCCATGCTACAAGGCAATCCATGCCTTGCCTTTAACCCTTTTCATTTCTACATGGATGAATTTATTTTCTGTGTATAGTTGGGTACCTAGTTTAAATTCTAAGTTTAAATACAGTTCTAAACAAGAGTCTGGGAGTTTATTGTCTTCTAAAGGAGAAAGTTATTTTGATTTGCGAGAAAGGATTAAGATTTTAGATTTATTCGGCCTGGAGAAAAAAAGACAGAACTTGCCATATGCCTTCCGGTCCATAAAGGGCTGGTTAAAAAACATCAATCTGTATCTGTCACCTACCAAAACTGTCCAAGTGTCCCCTTTGAAAATGTATTGAAAGTGCCTGTAAAATAAAGGATCTGGGAATCCCTAAAGGTGGAAGGCCCAAGAAAGGAAACCTTCATGTTTATGAAACATTGCCTGAAACAGTAAAAGATTTGCTCCTTCAGAGCACTACCTGCAGGAGAGCAAGCTGAGTGGGTATAATGAGAAACCTCCAGGGCAGCTTATCTTTGCCTTTATCTAGGTGTTTTCCCAGGAGACCTCTGAGTCCGCTTGCAGTGAGTACCAAGGAAATACTCTCACAACCCTGCTCCTGTGAAAACCCCTTTTGAGACTCCCTCTTTGGGGCTCCTGCTCACTATATTAGCCCACTTCTGAAAGCCTCTCCCAGTAGTCACATCAGTTTTATAGATTGCTGAATATGAGTGCGCAGAACCCCCATAGGACCTCCCACAGTGGTACAGGGCTCTGTAAGATTGGTGACCAGTACTGAAAGTAGTGTGTTCCCCTGAGTTCCTGTAGTTTGGCACTGCAGAAAATTATGGTGCAATTCACCCAAAATAATTTTTGCAACAATAAACAATGTATATTGAAATCCTACTTATCCCTTGTCTTTTTAAAATATAGTTTATACTATCGTAACAGAGCCAGAAAAAGAAAACAAAATCCATGCATTAATTTCAAAGAGTATGTGATTATCACAAAACACAAATCATGACCGAAGAGAATGAGACTTAAGCCCACACCTTGGGCTTAGTTACCACATAGCCATTATCTTCATAAGTCAGGGTATGCCGATTCAGGAGGCTGCCGCTGTAACAGGAGTCACACATCTCCTTTGGAGGGAGCACATGATCCCACAAAAACACATCCCATATCACCCCAACAAAGGATTGATTTTCATCAAAATGTCCCCCAAAGGAATCCTGCTCTTGTCCCAGGATGATCTTAGCCTCTTCTCCCACAGAGTACCCCTTCCACACACCCTTCCTCCCCACCAGCTTCCCATTTGCCCAGAGTGTAGCAATTCCAGAGGCAGACTCCCAGCTCACATTGACATGGGTCGAAGCATAAGGAGATCGAGGGCAGGGGGTGGGGCCATTGAAAGTGACTGCAGCATTTCCAATGTGCAGCAGATACATTCCCATTTTGTTGACAAGGAGAAGCAGCTCATTGTCCTGGGACCGAGTGCTGTAGAAGAGGCTATAAGGGCAGGTGAAGTCTGTGAAGGTTTTCAGGCAAAGCTTGAAGTTCTTCAGGGGCTTCTTCACCTTGGGGATCAGGGACACATAGACTGTAGCTGATTCTTGAGGGAAAATAAATGCCTTCCCTCACATGTCTGTGGAGAAAAGATAATGTGAAAAAATTTAGTGAACTCGGATTTGCTCTCACTGTGGACCCTAGGCTGTCTCCTAACAGAGTGAAGTTAGCATGCTAGAGTTTGCAAAGTACCTGTGAGTGCATTATGTCAATGACCGTATAAGCAAAATACCAGTGTTAAAAACCCATGTTTTGGTCCACTTGTCCTGTTAGAAGGGTAAGTTAAAGATGTTCTGTATCAACTCCCAGCTCCATCTTCCTTGAAGATTTTATCCAGATAAAATAGCAAACACCAGTCACAGAAAATGAAACACAGCTAACTCATTGAGTGTAATGGATAGTATTCCATTCTCCCACCACTGATCAGATTCTGAGATTCTCCCATGGCACAGTTGTGGCTGAAGTTACATAGACTTTTAATGGCTCATCTTGATTCCTGGCTTGGCAATGATGAACCAACACTTGTGGTCAGTGCCAAGTCTGAGGAATAGAATAGTGTGCAAACCACATGGCCCAGACCCTTATAGTATTCTTGCCTTCTTCTCCAATCCCTGTTTGCTCTTGTATGCCAATTAAGGCAGGACCAGTTTTCCACTGTTTGTTTACCTGCAGCTGCAACACTAGGATCATGGAATTACTTATCATTGACTTATTTCCTCTTAAGATCCATAAGAGAAGAGAAGGGCTTAATCATTATAAAATCAACTATTTTTTTTCTTGCTTAGGAAAGCAAATTTAACAAATACTACGGTCTAGAAAATAAACTAGAGAAAAATGACTAACTGAATTAAGGGAGACAGAACCTAGAAGCACTATGGAGTCTTGAATTGAGTTAGTTTTGCTTCATTGCAGGAAATGGAAAAACAGCATGAATTTCTATTTCCTTAGATACAGGCCTTTTTTAGAATGCTCATCCTGGATGAAAAATAGTTAACAGAGCACTTAAGGAGAGGAAGCTAGGAAGAGATGACACACTTTAATAAAGATAGAGAGAAAGAGAGGGAGAACTTTAGTCAGTACAGCAGGAACTACGAGGATGGAAAGGTAAACCATGCATTTGTACCCTGTGATCTAATTATCTACCTGCTTGTGATTTGTAAGCTTGTCAGTATACAAACCTAGAGCAAAATAGCGTGCTTAGCCAGAGAGTGAGATTTTGAAAAACTCATTACTGATAGTAATGCTATAAAGAAATGCTGTCTCAAACTTGAGAAGATGAGGTTGTCCTTAGTGGCAGTAATAAAAAGGAAAAAAATGGTACTGAAACATTAAGGCTTTTTATGGCTAATAAAAAATAATTTTATAACATGTATGTATCACAAAGTACATATTGCCTTTAATTGATCTCACCCAATCTTCATGACAACTCTTTGCTAAATGGATGTTGTTTTCATTCCCACTGTATAGATGAAGACTCTGAGGGTCAAAGTTCAGCAATTTCACAAAGATTATTCAATTCAGTTTGGTAGAAACTGGTTATCTGATTTAAACTCCAACCTACTTTTTAGATTTCATATTTTCTCTCACGTTATCCTGACTGAGCATTTGAGAAGGATCAGAAGGATAATGCCCTAACCACTGTAACAAGTTCTCTTTTCCAGCCAATACCGCATACCTCTTCTTATTTTCTCAGTTGAGAGGTAATAACATTTCCATACAAGCAAAGCCAGTTCTCCTTTCTCCAGCTGTAAGAGTTCCTTATGTGAGGCATATCCTTATTCAACAGCATCTGTGGTGGTTCTAAAAATAAGTCAAAAAATAATTTTCTTCCCCTTGGGTGTGGTCTGACTCACTTCTTTTTTTTTTTTTTTTTTTTTTACTTTAAGTTCTGGAATACATGTGCAGAGCATGCAGGTTTGTTACATAGGTATACATGTGCCATGGTGCTTAGCTGCACCTATCAATCCATCATTTAGGTTTTAAGCCCTGCATGCATTAGATATTTGTCCTAATGCTCTCCGTCCCCTTGCACCCCACCCCCGAATAGGCCCCAGTGTGTGATGTTACCCTCTCTGTGTCCATGTGTTCTCATTGTCCAAATCCCACTTATGAGTGAGAATGTGCAGTGTTTGGCCTTCTGTTCCTGTGTTAGTTTGCTGAGAATGATGGCTTCCAGCTTCATCCATGTCCCTACAAAGGACATGAACTCACTCTTTTTTATGCTTGCATAGTATTCCATGGTGTATATGTGCCACATTTTCTTTATCCAGTCTATCATTGATGGGCATCTGGGATGGTTGCAAGTCTTTGCTATTGTGAACAGTGCCACAATAACACACGTGTGTTTGTGCCTTTATAGTAGAATGATTTATAATCCTTTGGGTATATACCCAGTAATGGGATGGCTGGGTCAAATGGTATTTCTGGTTCTAGATCCTTGAGGAATCACTACACTGTCTTCCACAATGGTTAAACTAATTTACACTCCCACCAACAGTATAAAAGTGTTCCTATTTCTCCACAGCCTCACCAGCATCTCTTGTTTCCTGACCATTTAACAATTGCCATTCTAACTGGCAAGAGATGGTATCTCATTGTGGTTTTGATTTGCATTTCTCTGATGATGAGTGGCAATGAGCTTTTTTTCATATGTTTGTTGACCATATTAATGCCTTCTTTTGAGAAGTGTCTGTTCATATCCTTTGCCCACTTTTTGATGGGGTTGTTGGTTTTTTTCTTGTAAATTTGTTTAAGTTCTTTGTAGATTCTGGATATTAGACCTTTGTCAGATGGGTAGCTTGTAAAAATTTTCCTCCCTTCTGTAGGTTGTCTGTTCACTCTGATGATAGTTCCTTTTGCTGTGCAGAAGCTCTTTCATTTGATTAGGTACCATTTGTCAGTTCTGGCTTTTGTTGCAATTGCTCTTGGTGTTTTAGTCATGAAGTCTTTGCCCATGCCTATGTCCTGAATGGTATTGCCTACGTTTTCTTCTAAGATTTTTATGGTTTTGGGTTTTACATTTAAGTCTTTAATCCATCTTGAGTTAATTTTTGTATAAGTGTAAGGAAGGGGTCCAGTTTCAATTTTCTGCATATGACTAGCCAATTTTCCCAGCACCATTTATTAAATACAGAATCCCTTCCTTATTGCTTTTTTTGTCAGGTTTGTTGAAGATCAGATGGTTGTAAATGTGTGGTGTTATTTCTGAGGTCTCTGTTCTGTTCCATTGGTCCATGTGTCTGTTTTGGTACCAGTACTATGCTGTTTCGGTTACTGTAGCCTTGTAGTATGGTTTGGAGACAGGTAGCGTGATGCCGCCAGCTTTGTTCTTTTTGCTTAGGATTGTCTTGGCTATACAAGCTCTTTTTTGGTTCCATATGAAATTTAAAGTAGTTTTTTCTAATTCTGTGAAGAAAGTCCACTGATAGATTGATGGGAATAGCATAGAATATATAAATTACTTTGGGCAGTATGGCCATTTTCACGATATTGATTTTTCCTATCCATGAGCAAGAAATGCTTTTCCATTTGTTAGTGTCCTCTCTTATTTCCTTTAGCAGTGGTTTGTACTTCTCTTTGAAGAGGTCCTTTGTGTCCCTTGTAAGTTGTATTCCTAGGTATTTTATTCTTTTTGTAGCAATTATGAATGGGAGTTCACTCATGATTTGGCTCTCTGCTTGTCTATTGTCGGTGTATAGGAATGCTTGTGATTTTTGCACATTGATTTTGTATCCTGAGACTTTGCTGAAGTAGCTCATCAGCTTATGGAGTTTTTGGACTGAGATGATCGGACTTTCTAAATATACAATCATGTCGTCTGCAAACACAGACGATTTGACTTTCTGTCTTCCTATTTGAATATGCTTTATTTCTTTCTCTTGCCTGATTGCCCTGGCTAGAATTTCCAGTAGTATGTTGAATAGGAGTGGTGAGAGAGGGCATTCTTGACTTGTGTCAATTTTCAAAGGGAATGCTTCCAGCTTTTGTCCATTCGATATGATATTGGCTATGGGTTTCTCATAAGTTGCTCTTATTATTTTAAGATATGCTCCATTCATACCTAGTTTATTGAGAATTTTTAGCATAAATGACGTTGAATTTTATCAAAGGCCTTTTCTGCATCTATTGAGATCATCATGTGGTTTTGTCATTAGTTCTATTTACGTGATGGATTACGTTTATTGATATTCATATGTTAAACCAGCCTTGCATCCCAGGGATGAAGCCAAATTGTTCGTGGTGGATAAACTGTTTGATGTGCTGTTGGATTTGGTTTGCCAGTATTTTATTGAAGATTTTCACATTGATGTTCTTCAGGGATATTGGCCTGAAATTTCCTTTTTTTTTTTTTTTTTTTTGTTGTGTCTCTGCCAGGTTTTGGTATGAGGATAACACTGGCCTCATAAAATGAGTTAGGGAAGAGTCCCTCTTTTTCTGTGGTTTGGAATAGTTTCAGAAGAAATTGTACCAGCTCCTATTTGTACCTTTGGTAGGATTTGGCTGCAAATCCATCTGGTCCTGGGCTTTTTTTGGTTGGTAGACTATTAATTACTGCCTCAATTTCAGAACTTGTTATTGTTCTATTCAGGGATTCGACTTCTTCCTGATTTAGTCTTGGGAGGGTGTATGTGTCCAGGAATTTATGCATTTCTTCTAGGTTTTCCAGTTTATTTGCTTAGAGGTGTTTATAGTATTCTCTGATGGTATTTTGTATTTCTGTGGAATCAGTGGTGATATCCCCTTTATCATTTTTTATTTTGTCTGTTTGATTCTTCTCTCTTCTTTTTTAGTCTAGCTAGCAGTCTATCTATTTTGTTCATTTTTTCAAAGAACCAGCTACTGGATTCATTGATTTTTTGAAGGACTTTTCGTGTCTCTATCTCCTTCACTTCTGCTCTGATCTTAGTTATTTCCTGTCTTATGCTAGCTTTTGAATTTGTTATCTCTTGCTTCTCTAGTTCTTTTCACTGTGATGTTAGGGTGTTGATTTTAGATCTTTCCAGCTTTCTGTTGTGGGTATTTAGTGCTATAAATTTCCCACTGCTTTAGCTGTGTCCCAGAGATTCTAATACATTGTCTCTTTATTCTCGTTGATTTCAAAGAACTTCTTTATTTGTGTCTTAATTTCGTTATGTGCCCAATAGTCACTCGGGAGCAGGTAGTTCATTTTCCATGTAGTTGCGCCATTGTGAGAGCGTTTTTTAATCCTGAGTTCTAATTTGATTGCACTGTGGTCTGAGAGACTGTTTGTTATGATTTCTGTTCTTTTGTATTTGCTGAGGCGTGTGTTACTTCCAATTATGTGGTCAATTTTAGAATATATGCAATGTGATGCTGAGAAGAATGTATATTCTGTTGATTTGGGGTGGAGAGATCTGTAGATGTCTATTAGGTCCACTTGGTCCAGAGCTGAGTTCAAGTCCTGAATACCCTTGTTAATTTTCTGTCTCGTTGATCTAATATTGACAGTGGGGTGTTAAAGTCTCCCACTATTATTGTGTGAGAGTCTAAATCTCTTTGTAGGTCTCTAAGAACTTGCTTTATGAATCTGGGTGCTCCTGTATTGGGTGCATATATATTTAGGATAGTCAGCTCTTCTTGTTGCATTGATCCCTTTACGAGTATGCAATGCCCTTCTTTGTCTCTTTTGATCTTTGTTGGTTTAAAGTTTGTTTTATCAGAAACTAGCGTTGCAACCTCTGCTTTTTTTTTCCTTTCCATTCGCTTGGTAAATATTCCTCCATCCCTTTATTTTGAGCCTATGTTTGTCTTTGCAGGTGAGATCAGTCTCCTGACCAATGGGTCTTGACTTTTTATCCAATTTGCCAATCTGTGTCTTTTAATTGGGGTATTTAGCCCATTTACATTTAAGGTTAATATTGTTATGTGTGAATTTGATCCTGTCATCATCATGCTAGCGGGTTATTTTGAACATTAATTGACGTAGTTTCTTCACAGTATCATCGGTCTTTATATTTTGGTGTTTTTGCAGTGGCTGGTACAGTTTTTCCTTTCCATATTTAGTGCTTCCTTCAGGAGCTCTTGTAATGCAAGCCTGGTGGTGACAAAATCCCTCAGCATTTGTTTGTCTTGAAAGGATTTTATTTCTCCTTCACTTACGAAGCTTTTGGCTGGCTATAAAATTCTGGGTTGAAAATTCTTTTCTTTAAGAATGTTGAATATTGATCCCCACTCTCTTCTGGCTTGTAGGGTTTCTGTAGAGAGATCTGCTGTTAGTCTGATGGGCTTCCCTTTGTAGGTCACCTTACCTTTCTCTCTGGCTGCCCTTAATATTTTTTCCTTTCTTTCAACCTTGGAGAATCTGACAATTATGTGTCTTGGGGTTGCTCTTCTTGAGGAGTATCTTGGTAGTGTTCTCTGTATTTCCTGAATTTGAACGTTGGCCCATCTTGCTAGATTGGGGAAGTTCCCCTGGATAATATCCTGAAGTGTGTTTTCTGACTGGGTTCCATTCTCCCCGTTACTTTCAGGTACACCAATCAATTATAGGTTTGGTCTTTTCACATAGTTCCATATTTTTTGGAGGCTTTGTTTATTCCTTTTCATTCTTTTTTTCTCTAATCTTGGCTTCACACCTTATTTTAGTAAGTTGATCTTCAGTCTCTGATATCCTTTCTTCTACTTGATCAATTCAGCTATTGATACTTGTGTATGCTTTACAAAGATCTCGTGCTGTGTTTTTCAGCTCCATCAGGTCATTTATTTTCCTCTCTAAACTGGTTATTCTAGTTAACAGTTCCTGTAATCTTTTATCAAGGTTCTTGGCTTTCTTGCATTGGGTTAGAACATGCTCCTTCAGCTCAGAGGAGTTTGTTATTACCCGCCTTCCGAAGCCTACTTCTGTCAATTCGTCAATCTCATTCTCCATCCAGTTTTGTGCCCTTCCTGGAGAGGATTTGCGATCATTTGGAGGAGTAGAGGCATTCTGGTTTTTGGAATTTTCAGTGTTTTTGCCTTGGTTTTTCCTCATCTTCATGGATTTATCTACCTTTGATCTTTGAGGATGATGATTTTTGGATGGGGTTTTTGTGTGGGGGTCCTTGATGTTAATGTTGATGTTGATGCTGTGGCTTTGTTTGTTAGTTTTTCTTCTAACCATCAGGCCCCTCTTCTGTAGGTCTGTCTGCTGCAGTTTGCTGGAGGTCCACTCCAGACCTCTTTGCCGGGGTATCACCAGTAGACGCTGCAGAACAGCAAAGATTGCTGCCTGCTCCTTCCTCTGAAAGCTTCATTCCAGAGTGGCACTGGCCTGATGCTGGGCTGATTCACTTCTAATGAATAGAATACAGCAGGAATGAAGTATGTGATTTCTAAGATTAGATTATCAAAAGGCTGAGGCTTCTGTGCTGGGCACTTTCTCTCCCTATGTCAAATCACTCATCATTGCAGAAGCTAGCTGCCATGTTGCAGGCTGCTCTATGGGAAGACCCATGTGGCCAGGAACTAAGGGAGACTTATGGCCAATAGTAAGTGATAAAATTAGGCCTTCAATCCAACATCGTATAAAGAGCTGAATCCTGACAGCAACCACGTAAGTGAGCTTGGAAGCAGATTCTTTTCCTGTCGAGCATTCAGATGAGACTACAGCTCTCATTTATTGACTTCAACTTCATGAAAGATCTTCATTCAGAATCATTAGCCCTGCTACTCTATATTTCTTGACCCACAGAAAACCAGAGTTAATAAATATTTGTTGTTTCAAGCTGTTAAATTTTGTGGCAGATTGTTTTGGAATAATAGGTTACTCATATGCCAACCTTCATTCATACCTTTCTGAAACTGTAGCAGCAGCAGCAACAAAACCAACAATAGGTCTTATATTCTAGTTCTCTTGGGACGTGGAGGAAACTTCCCAATTAGCTCATTAGCTCAGTTCCTACCTCACTGTCACACCTCTCGAGAGAGTGGTGAGGAGCAGGATACCCGGAAGATGCCTCTCCATCACACTCTCCATGGGTTTTCAGGAGTACTGAGGGGGATAGCAGCAGTTATCACAGTGGAGAGACACTCACTGTTTGGCTTCTTATACTGTGTTGTTACAGGCAAGGTCTTTGTTCTAGCAACAAAACACAAAGTTATAGATGGTAAATATTAACTGAACCAGGATATGGTTAAAAAACTAATTTGTTTACCTTTTGATCTATTGTTTTCATTACTGGATCTTTCCTTTCTCTTTTAATTATTCTATTTCCTACTCCACTGCCCTTCCCCTTCAAAGAAAGGCCCTATGTTCTCCTGAAGGACATTTTATTACCTTATGTGTGTAAGGAAATCATGGCAGTCTATGTTAGGACTATAAGATAAGCATACTTGTGGACCCACGGGAGGAATCAATTTCCAACATGTGTTTAGGGGCTTGGGTATCATCAGTAGACTAAGGACATTAACTGATTTAGATGGTTGTGGAGTTCAACATAGTTGTGAGATGGAGACATCTTGGCTCATGACAGAATGGAGATCTAGCTCTTGGGCTCTTGAAGATGAAGTTGCCCAGTTCTCAATACAGGGAGTTCCTGGTTGTTGGGAGTTAATGTGGTGCTCTTCACCTAGAATTGGGCCATAAGCTAGGAAATCAAGGACTCAAATAAGGTATCTGTGAAGTTTGGGGATAAAAATATATGCATTAAAATGAAGATTGAAATTTAACTACTTTGCATTATCTCAGAAATGTACACAAATTTCTTTGAGGATTTTGATTTTTGTTTCTAGCATTTAGAGCCTACAAAATTTTATTTAATAATATTCATGCTGAGTTTTCAAGTGCTTAATTTACTAGGGTTTAGTTAAGTGTTAACATCTTGATGTACTATAAAATATTTTTTAGATTAAGATATTTTTGACAATCAATATGGAAAAATTTTAGAAATAGAATACATACATAAACTTAAAATAAGATCGAATATTTATAGATATAGACATATGTACTAAGGTATAAACATGCAAAGGAATACTCTATATACACTCAATATAGTAGTTACCTCTGAGAAAGGAGGAAGTAAGGAAGGGGAAAGGATGGAGGTGAATTTCTGACTACATCTATAAATATTACTACTTATAAAAAAAGAGGTAGGAAACAATTATGACAAATATGGCATGGTGAACACGTAGTATCTAATATATAGTTTTATAACTTTTTGAAAATTTAAAATGTTTATAATTGTTATTTTTAATTTTAATTTTAATCATCACATGGATTTTCTAAGTGATCATTTTTATGTTCCTTATTAACTTTTTTCTTTAAAATATATTTCTTTTTGCCCATGACACAGCCCTCAGGAGGTTCTGAGAACATGTGCCCCTCTTCATTAACTTATATTTCAACATGAATATTCTTTATGATCTGTAGCCTTAACCAATGACCTATTATGGACATATATGAAACAAATGTATGAATAAGAATAAAAACCATGTAAAGTGGTATAACAGTCAAAACCACCTTGCTGTGGTAAACTCTCCAAGTGGCTTAGTCATGAGCTGGCGCTTCTGATCTCCACTAACAGACTTGCTCAACTGATATGCACTTGGATGTCTTTAGGTTCCATATTAAAGGAGCAAGGTCAAGAAACGGAGGCCCTTATCTATCTCTTCCATTTCGAAGCCCACAATGGCCTTATGTAGGGAATTATGTCAGTTTTCTGAGAAGATAGTAGTCCTTCATATTCACTTTTTCCCAAGATCTGGAAACACAGATAGTAAGTATTAGAGAGGCTGTACCCTCATGAAGACATAGAGCCTGTTTCCTTGTCTAACATGTTAGGCTTTCTCAGAGGAAAACAGGAAATGAGAAGTTACAGGAAGTGGTGCAGTCACAACACCTGAAACAAGTGCTCAAGGAGGAAAAAGCATTTCTATTCATTTATATATAAACTTGAATCCTATCAGCTGGAACAAAGACTTTGTCCTTCAAAGAAGAGTATGTGAAGCCAGGTGGTAGGTGTCTCTCCCTTTCTAGGACTTTTGCAGTCCCCAAGAGTCCTCCCAGCTCTCCATGTTTACTTGGGAGGAATGGCACAGTCAAGTAGTTGCTGAGTTCAGTTAGGTATATGCTCCCAACCTAGAAAAACAGTGGTAGAGATAGACTAAAGGGTTCTTTATGGGGAGAGAGAGTTAGCGTGGGAAGAGTGAGGGGTGGTAGAAAATGGGAGAAATGATTTTTCAAATACCAGAAATTCCTAGGTCCAGAGAAAGGAGAGCTGGTTTACCTGCACAAAGGGAACACCATCACCCCTACTTTATGAGAATGAGAAAAGGTCCGAGGCCTATTTGCCAGAAGGAGAGATGATGCCGCAGAGCTAACAGCCTTGGCTAGGCACTTTCTAACTGTGTGAACGTCAAGAAGTTATATACTTCCATGAGCCTCAGTTTCTTCATTTGTAAAATGGGATTTTTTATTAAAAAAAAGAAAGCTACCTCATAAAGTTTTATAAATGTTGAATGAGATTAATTATGACATTAGATATTTAAAAGTTATAAAATATTAGTAGTTTTAAAAGCTTTAATATTTCTGTACTATCTGCTCAGAAATGAGCTACTCTTTTCCCACATGGTATGTTTCCCAAAACAGCTACCATTTCTGGCTTTCCTTCAAATGGGAACTCTGACCAGTGCACAAACTCTTCCAGGGAAACAATTAGTAACATAAAAAATAATTAGAGTGTTCTGAAAATACCACTCATGATGATCTGCTTTCAGGAGATAAGGAAAGAAGAGCTGATTTCATCTTCATGTGGAAAATATTCATCAGAATCTTGCTATAAATGGTCTTAGGAAAACGGGATCTCCATATGCAGAAGAATGAAACTGGGCCCTTATCTTACATCATATACAAAAATCAACACAAAATGGACTAAAGCCCTAAATGTAAGATGAGACACCATAAAACTCCTAAAAGACACATGAAAAAATGCTCATCATCACTGGCCATCAGAGAAATGCAAATCAAAACCACAATGAGATACCATCTCACACCAGTTAGAATGGCAATCATTAAAAAGTCAGGAAACAACAGGTGCTGGAGAGGATGTGGAGAAATAGGAACACTTTTACACTGTTGGTGGGACTGTAAACTAGTTCAACCATTGTGGAAGTCAGTGTGGCGATTCCTCAGGGATCTAGAACTAGAAATACCATTTGACCCAGCCATCCCATTACTGGGTATATACCCAAAGGATTATAAATCATGCTGCTATAAAGACACATGCACACATATGTTTATTGCGGACTATTCACAATAGCAAAGACTTGGAACCAATCCAAATGTGCAACAATGATAGACTGGATTAAGAAAATGTGGCACATATACACCATGGAATACTATGCAGCCATAAAAAGGATGAGTTCATGTCCTTTGTAGGGACATGGATGAAGCTGGAAACCATCATTCTCAGCAAACTATCGCAAGGACAAAAAACCAAACACCAAATGTTCTCACTCATAGGTGGGAATTGAACAATGAGAACACATGGACACAGGAAGGGGAACATCACACACCGGGGCCTGTTGTGGGGTAGGGGGAGGGGGGAGGGATAGCATTAGGAGATATACCTAATGTTAAATGACAAGTTACTGGGTGCAGCACACCAACATGGCACATGTATACATATGTAACTAACCTGCACGTTGTGCACATGTACTCTAAAAGTTAAAGTATTAAAAAAAAAAAAAAGACTCCTAGAAGAAAACATAGGGGGAAAGGTCCTTGATACTGACTTTGGCAATGATATTTTTGAATATCACACTAAAAGCACAGGCAACAAAAGCAAAAATAAACAGGTGAGACTACAACAAATTAAAAAAGCTTCTGCACAGCAAAGGAAACAATCAAAAAAATCAAAAAGCAGCCTATGGATTGGGGGAAAATATTTGTGAACCATATATCTGATAAGGGCTAATATTCAAAACATATAAGGAACTCACACTACTCACTAGCCAAAAAAAAAATCCAATTTTAAAATGGGCAAAGAATCTGAATAGATACTTCTCCAAAGAAGACATAAAAATGGCCTGCAAGTATATGAAGAGGTGCTTGATATTATTAATCATTGAGGAAATGGGAATCAAAACCACAATGAGATGTTACTTCATATCTGTTATGATGGCTACTACCAAAAAATGAAAGATATGGAGGTGAGGATTTGGAGAAAGGAAGACCCTTGTACACTATTTGTGGAACTATAATTTGGACATACATTATGCAAAAAAGTATGGCGGTTCCTCAAAAAAATAAAAATTGAAATACCATATAATGCAGCAGTCCCTTTCTGGGTATTAGGGGAAATGAAATCAATACCTCAAAGAGATACCTGCACTTTCATGTTTATTACAACATAATTCACAATAACCAAGATACGAAAATAGTCGATGGATAAATAAAGATATTGTGATACACACACACACATACACACACAAAATAGAATATTACTCAGCCTTAAAAAAAGATACTGCCATTTGTGACAACATGAATCAAGCTAGAGGACATTATGCTAAGTGAAATTAGCCAGATGCAGAAAGAAAAATACTGTGCAATCTCACATATGGAATATTTTTAAGTCAAATACAGAGAAACAGAGAATAGAGCAGTGGTTAGTTACTAGGGAAAAGGAGGGGGAGAAAATGAGGAGATGTAAGTCAAAGAGTACAAACGTTCAGTTATGTAAGATAAATAAGTCTAGGGATTTAATGTATAGCAGGAGGATTATAGTTAATAATATTAAATTTTATATTTAAAATTTGCTAAGAGAGTAGATTTTAGGTGCTGTTACACACACATACACACACATGCATGCATGCGCGCGTGCATGCGGGAAAGAGGTAACTATGGAAGGTGATGGGTATCTTTAGTTGTGTACATGTAGTAATCATTTCACCATGTATATGTATATCAAAATATCTTTTTGTATACCCTAAATCTGTACAATAAAAAATGAGGGAGGTGAGGGGAGGAAAAATTTTTCAAAGCAGAAAGGATAATAGCATGCCTATTCTATATTACTTGCATTTTATTTCCAGCCCTGCCACTGACTCACTATGTGACCTTGAGTCAGTCATTTCATCTCCCTGTGTTAATTTTCTTGTTTGTAAAGCAGGATAATGAATATAACTTTCTGTTCTCTCAAAAACAACTCTTGCTATGATTATCTCATTTTAGGGAAAGGAGAAAAAACTCACTAAATATGCTTCATTTGAAAGGGAACATGTTGGTTTAGCAAATTATAGATGAATGTGTACTTCCAGTCACAATTGGCTGGAAGAAAGTTGTATTCCTTCTATTCCTACTAAATAAAATTAAGTGGATGAGCGCAAAATGATTACACACCCACCTCTGCCTTAAAAGGGGGTAAGTCCATGAGATTGAGCCTCAGCATCTGAGATGACAGCTTCAAGTACATTGAACAAACAGGGATTTGACCCCTTTCTTATGAACAGATAACCAGGGATTGGGGAGGATATGACACAAAAAAGTAATATTTACACCTATTAATTCAAGTTTTCTATTTCTTACCCGAAGAGGAATGATAGAGACTCAGGAAAACCAAATCATAGACCAACAGAAATAATCAATGCATTTATCATTAGCCACATCCAACTCCACAGGAAGAATTTTTTGAGTATAAGGGTAAAATGCCCAGGGACTAGGTATGAAAGGAAAAAAAGAAGATAGGGTTTCACAACCTTTGCTCATTGCACTCAATAAACTAACCTTTCTTATGTCCCTGGAATAGAGTTGACAGAACCAAAAAAGTAAGTTAGGAAAAAGAATTCACCATATAAGATCTTTCATTGCAATATCATATGTAAATAACCCATATTTGCAAGCCCTATATGTAATAAGCCCTATGCGGAGATAGTCAGATGTTAACATATGATTAATATGAATTTTATAGTATTTCTCCTGGTTCTAGAGAAATCTTACATATCAACCTGACCTATGGTTAAAACCCCTTGTTCTACAGCACTTGGACCAAGACAATAAGGTCTTTCTATATCCATGTAAAACTGAAGCCTACAGTCTGTCTATTGGCTATGGAGAGGGCATTGTTAAGCCATCCTAAGACTCTTGTTTCAATCCATGTGCACCCGCTGGAGGAACTGTAGAACTCCTAGGTAGAAGAGAAGCCCCAGGAGAGAAAGGGATACTCAATTGAACAGAAAACAAAGATCACCCTGAAGTGGAAGCAGCATTCATTTGGGGGCAAGTTTGGTAGAGATAGTCCTTTAATGGAGAGATTTGGGATTAGCCCTGTAGAATTATGTGCTCTTGTCAAAGGAGATATGCACCACCTATTGTGATGACATCATCCTAAACTATTAGGCTTTCTTTTATTCTTATGACCTTTTCTTTTGACATAATTTTGGATTTACAGAAAAGTGGCAGGAAAAATAAAAAAAACCTTCCCAGATACTTAATTTTTATTGTGATAAAATATACATAATATAAAATGTATCATTTTAACAATTTCTAAGTGTACATCAGTGATGTTAAGTACCTTCATAGTGTTGTATAACCATCACTATTTCCATAACATTTTCATAATCTCAAACAGAAAATGTGTACCTACTAAATAATAACTCTCCATTTCTTCTTGACTGCCAGTCCTGGGCAAGCACTAACCTGCTTTCTGTCTCTATGGATTTGCCTACTCTGAACATTTCATTTAAATGAATCATAAAATATTTGTCTTTTTGTGTCTGGCTTACTTCACATAGCATAATGTTTTTAGAGTTCATCCATGTTGCAGCATGTACCAGAATTTCATTTCTTTTTAAGGTAGAATAATATTCCATTGTGTATGTAGCAGATTTTATTTATTCGTTCATCTTTTGATGGACATTTGGGTTGTTTTTACCTTTTGGCTTCTGTGAGTATGCTATGAACATTGGTGTACAAGTGTCTGTTTGATTCTCTGTTCTCAATTCTGTTGGGTATATACCCAGGAGTAGCATTGCTGAATTATATGGTAATTCTATTTTTAACTGTTTGAAGAACCACCAGACTGTTTTTCACAGTTGCTGTATCATTTTACATTCCCATCAGTTACACACAAGGGTTCTAATTTCTCCACTTCCTCCCCAACACTTACTATTTTCTATTGTTTCTGTTGCTATTAATATAATAATGATCCTAATGCCAAAGAAGTGGTATCTTATTGTGGTTTTGATTTGTATTTGCCTGATGGCTGGTGATGCTGCACATCATGTCATGTGCTTGTATTGGCTATTTGTATATTTTCATTAAAGAAATACATATTTGAGTTATTTGCTCACATATTAACTGCTGGAATTTTTTTTGCTTTTTAAAAAAGTTGTAGGAGTTCTTTACATATTCTGGATATTAATCTCTTATCAGATATTGAGATGTATGATATGCAAATATTTCCCCCCTTTCTGTAGGTTGTCTTTCCACTCTCTTGTTAGTGTCCTTTGATGCACAAAAGTATTTAATCTTGATGAATTCCAATTTATCTGTTTTCTTTTCTGTTGCCTGTACTTTTAGCGCATGTCTATGAAATCATTGCCTAATCCAATGTTATGAAGATTTACTTCATCTTTTTCTAAGAATTGTATAGTTTTAGCTCTTACACTTGGGTCTTCCATCTATTCTAATTCTGTATATGATGTCGAACTTCATTACTTTTCATGTATCTCCGGTATTTCCTGTCCCATTTATTGAAAGCACTGTCTTTTCTCCATTGTTTTGGGACCTTTGTTGAAAATCAGTTAATTAAGAAGATTGTTCACTAAACAAGGCCTTTAAAAGCAAGGCCAGCACGGGGAGGGGGGTTGTACTAATGTTAAGTTCTATTCCAACTGAGCCAATTTTTAATTTACTTTTTAAAAATTAATCAGTGTCAAAGTTGTATACAGAATAGCTTTCTGTAAGTACAATAGGGCACCTGGGTGCCCTGGGTTAGATCAGTTGAGAAGATGACTTATTTTTATTGTAGTTAAATGTACGCATCTGCTGAGCCTTACATGAACTTATAGACTTAAGGTTCTGGTTAGGCTCAGAGGTGGATGTAATGAGAAGCTAATAAAACTTCTCTCTCATTGGCACAGACCGCTTATACAAAATCATCTTTTCTCATTCTAACTAAATATTCATGTATTCAAAATCTGAATCCACCCTTTGTAGGTACCTGTACAGAGAACTGAAGTCAAATTCTGGTCTACCTATTTTACTTGATGAGAAAAAAATCCTGGTTTTAGGATTTTATCTTAGGATCTTGTCTCAGAATTTTATGATGTGATATATTTTTAAAAAAATCACAAAAACAATGCCATTTAAATAAATTTCTTTCTTCAACCACTTGTCCCTCCTCTTTGGAGCAAATTGTCTTTTCCATAACAAAATGCCTATTTAGGCCACAGTGTTGTAATGTTGAGCTCCCCCTTCCTCTCCCTCCTGCACACCCCAGGTCCTTGTTTATAGAGTAATAAATATGCAAAGATATTTTAAGTTTCTCTGCATAAAAATTAACCTGGATTTTGGTGGTCCTCTGGAAGTAGAGAAAATAAGAGAGGAAGAGCTGCAGGAAGAGGTTGAGTAACATGACATAGATGACAACCTATGGAGAAATGTGGTACAATGAGAGATTGTAATGAGTGGTGATGGTTAAAGAATTTTAAGAATTATCGGATATTAATATAGAAACAGTTTGCAGTGTGGTGCTGTAATGTAACCTTTCTTTATCCTTTCCTCCTACAAATTCTGCTATTAAAAACAAGTATCTGGCCGGGCGCAGTGGCTCATGCCTGTAATCCCAGCACTTTGGGAGGCCGAGGCGGGCGGATCACGAGGTCAGAAGATCGAGACCATCCTGGCTAACACGGTGAAACCCTGTCTCTACTAAAAATACAAAAAATTAGCCGGGCATGGTGGTGCCTGTAGTCCCAGCTACTCGGGAGGCTGAGGCAGGAGAATGGCGTGAACCCGGGAGGTGGAGCTTGCAGTGAGCTAAGATCGTGCCACTGCACTCCAGCCTGGGAGACAGAGACTCCATCTCAAAAACAAAACAAAACAAAACAACAACAAAAAAAAAACAAGTATCTGCTGGACTGCTGCTTTGTGGCAAATGAGGAAAATAGGCTGAGTTCCTCTTCTGTGTTGGAGTGGGATTAAAAAAAGACAATAGCCGCAGGAAGTAAGGTGAAGGGAGGTGAAGTGAAATCAAGAAATCAGAACTAGAAGGAAGCACACAAAAGACACATGCACACGTATGTTTATTGTGGCACTATTCACAATAGCAAAGACTTGGAACCAACCCAAATGTCCAACAATGATAGACTGGATTAAGAAAATGTGGCACATATACACCATGGAATACTATGCAGCCATGAAAAATGATGAGTTCATGTCCTTTGTAGGCACATGGATGAAATTGGAAATCATCATTCTCAGTAAACTATCGTAAGGACAAAAAACCAAACACCACATGTTCTCACTCATAGATGGGAATTGAACAATGAGAACACATGGACACAGGAAGGGGAACATCACACTCTGGGGACTGTTGTGGGGTGGGGGGAGGGGGGAGGGATAGCATTAGGTGATATACCTAATGCTAAATGATGAGTTAATGGGTGCAGCACACCAGCATGGCACATGTATACGTATGTAACTAAACTGCACATTGTGCACATGTATCCTAAAACTTAAAGTATAATAATAATTTAAAAAATAAAAATAAAAATAAATAAAACTTCTAGTGAATTTTTGAAAATTATAAGAGGATTTTTTACTTCCCATCAGACATAGATTAGTAGATTTGAACCAATTTTAAGGAATTATATGTGTATGTCAAAGGACAGGTTGATTTCAACTGACATCTGTGATGACTATGTATGTGAAAGAATAAGCATACATTTAACAACCAGCATATAGTTTAGTAAATGTTGAGATTACCTTCCCTGGGGTACTAGAGGGGATATCAATGAGCATTGGGGAGAGGAAATGGTCTTCCTCTTTGGAAAGATGTAGAGTAGCCACAGCATGGAAAAGCAGAATTATCAGTAGAAGGAGTACCATGCTAAAAGCTGGGAGACTTTGGTTCAAGTGACAGCTCTTCCATTAATACAAAGTGACTCTGAGAAGTTTATGTTTTAAATTCTTTACACGCAAAATGTTCAAACCACTATCTCTCAAATGCTGGCCAGCCTTTTAGGACTGAGCCCTTCCATTTATCTTTCTTACAGGACATCCATTTTTGTTTTATTTTGCTTTCAGTAGGTGGTCTATTATTTCTGCCATCAGTAAGTGTTTTTGATCATAGCCATGGCTTACTGACTATATATAATACACTCTTTTTTTGGCATTCCGAAGTATTGCCTTTTTTTCTTCCCCCCAAAAATTCTTTGATTACCTTGAATATGATTTTTCCCCTATCCAGACAGAATGCTAATTCTTCAGGGTCTTCCTGATTCTTCATCTCAATTAAGTCCTAAGCAGAGAAACCTGTTGCCACCAACTTCCATTGACAGAGAAGCATACCAGACTTTGAAGATAACTATGTCTCTCAAATATCCAAAACTCCTACTAAAAGTTTTTGTTTCAAATGAGTTTATTAACTTCAGGGATGGGAGGGGAAAGTATTTAGTAAGGATCAGAGATCATCCAAAATGAGGTTGGTGTAGAGTAGCAACCGAGTCATGAAAGGCTTCTTATCAGTAAGATCAAAATTCATAGAAATTACTGATTAAACACACATTTTCTCATTCAGCTTTGCAGTTAAGATGAATTGGCTTCCATTGTATCAGGTAACTGTTTTATTTTACTGGGAGTTCCTTTACATTTTTTATATTGACAAGAATTAGTTGTTAAGTGCTAGTATAAAATATAGATAGTATGCTTATCAAATTGTTATCTTGGGTTTATTACCTTTAGAAAAGGGTTCTGTTTATTACAGGCATTCCTTATTTTATTGTGATTCACTTTGCAGATATTGTGCTTTTTACAAATTGAAGGTTTGTGGCAATTCATAAAGCAAGTTTTTGGCACCATTTTCCCAACAGTGTGTGCTCACTTCATGTCTCTGTTTCATGTTTTGGTAATTCTCATAGTATTTCAGATGTTTTCATTATTGTTACATCTGTTATGGTGGTCTGTGATCAATGATTTTTGATGTTACTATTGTAATTGTTTTGGGGCACCATGAACTGTATCCAGGTAAGACAGCAAACTTAATCAATGAATGTTGTGTGTATTTCCCCCATCTCTCTCCTTCTCCCCCAGCCTACTTATTTCCTGAGACACAACAATATTGAAATTAGCCAATTAACCCCACAATGGCCTCTAAGAGTTCAAGTTAAAGCAAGAATAGCACTTCTTTAACTTTAACTTAAAAGCTGGAAATAATTAAGCTTAGTGAGGAAAGCATGTCAACAGCTAAGACAGGTCAAAAGCTAGGTCTCTTGTGACAAACAGTTAGCAATGTTGTGAATGCAAAGAAAAAGTTCTTGAAGGAAATTGAAAGTGCTACTCCAGTGCACACACAAATGAAAATAAAGCAAAGCAGCTTTATTGCTGATATGAAGAAACTTTTAGTGGTCAACATAGAACATCAAACCAGCCATAGCATTCCCTTAAGCCAAAACCTAATCCCGGACAAGACCCTAACTTTAATTCTGTGAAGGCCAAGAGAGATGAGAAAGCTACAGTAGAAAGTCTGAAGCCAGCGGAGCTCTCTGGTTTTATTTTTGTTTGTTTTTCAATGTGTGTCTATAACACAAAAGTGCAAGACAAAGCAGCAAGTACTGATGTAGAAGCTGCAGCAAGTGATCCAGAAAATACCTAATTGAATAATTGAAGGTGGCTACACTAACCAACAGATGTTCAATGTAGACAAACAACCTTACATGGGAAGAAAATTTAATACAGGACTTTCATAGCTAGAGATGAGATGTTAATGCTCGACTTCAATGCTTTCAAGAACAGGCAAGCTCTCTTGTTAGAAGCTAATGCAACTGGTGATTTTAAGCTGAAGCCAATGCTCATTTACCATTCTGAAAATTCTAGAGCCTTTTGGGAATTATGCCAAATCTACTCTGCCAGTGCTCTATAAATGGAACAAAGCCTGACCAATAGTGCATCTGTTTACACCATGGTTCACTAAATATTTTAAGCCCACTGTTGAGACCTACTGCTCAGGAAAAAAAAATAAGATGCCTTTCAAAATATTACTGCTCCTTGACAATGAATCTGTTTACCCAAGAGCTCTGATGGAGTCATTTCAAAGAGATTAATGTTGTTTTCATGCCTGCTAACACAATATTCATTCTGCAGCCAATGAATCAAGGAATACTTTTTTACTTTCAAGTCCTATTATTTAAGAAAAACATTTTGTAAGGTTATAGCTGCCATAGCTACTGATTCCTCTGATAGATCTGGGCAAAGTAAATCGAAAATTTTCTGGAAAGGACTCACCATTCTAAGTGCCATTAAAAACATTTGTGATTAGGAGGAGGATCTCAAAATACCAGCATTAATAGCATTTTGAAAGAAGTTTATTGCAATCATCATAGATGACTTTGAAAGGTTCAAGACTTCAGTGGAGGAAGTCACTGAAGATGTGGTAGACAAAGCAAGACAGCAAGAATTACAAGTGAAGCCTAAAAATGTGACTGAATTGCTGCAGTGTCATGACTAAAGTTTAATGAAAGAAGAGTTGCTTTTTATGCATGATCAAAGAAAGTAGTTTCTTGAGATGAAAACTACTCCTGGTGAAGATGCTGTGAACATTGTTGAAATGACAACACATGATTTAGAATAGTACATAAACTTGGGTTATAAAGCAGTGGCAGGATTTGAGAGGATGGACTCCGATTTAGAAAGAAATTCTACTGTGGGTAAAATGCTATCAAACAGCATCATATGCTACAGAGAAATCTTTCATGAAAGGTAGTCAATCAATGAGACAAACTTTATTGTTGTCTTATTTTAAGAAATTGCCAGAGCCAGCTCAGCCTTCAGGGACCACCACTCTGATCAGTCAGCAGCCATCAACACTGAAGCAAGGCACTCCACTAACAAAAAGATAACAATCCACTGAAGGCTTAGATTATTGCTAGCATTTTTAGTAATAATGCATATTTTAATTAAGCTATACACATTTCCTAGACATAATGCACACCTAATAGAATACAGTATAATGTAAACATAACTTTTATATGCACTGAGAAACCAAAACAAAATGTGGCTTACTTAATTTTTTGAAGGGTTTTTGGTGTCTCTATTTCCTTCAGTTCTGCTCTGATTTTAGAGCATGTGTTATGTGGTGATGAGAAGAATATATATTTCTTGTTTTGGGTGGAGAGTTCTGTAAAGGTCAATCAGATTCATCTGGTCCACTAATGAGTTTAGGTCTTGAATATCTTTGTTAATTTTCTGCCTCAGTGATCTGTCTAATACTGTCAGTGGAGTGTTGAGGTCTTCCACTATTATTAGGAGATATCTATGTCTCCTTGTAGGTCTCTAAAAACTTGCTTTATGAATCTGGGTGCTCCTGTGTTGGGTGCACATATATTTAGGATAGGTCCTCCTGTTGAGTTGAACCATTTTGTAATGCCCTTCTTTGTCGTCTTTTATGTTTTTTGGTTTAAAATTTGTTTTGTCTGAAATTATTATTGCAATCTCTGCTTTTTTTTCCTGTTTTCCATTTTGCTTGGTAAGTTTTCCTCCATCCCTTTATTTTGAGCCTATAAGTATCATTATGTGTGAGATGGATCTCCTGAAGACAGCATACCATTGGCATTAGGTCTTGCTTTTTTATTCAGCTTGTCACTCTATGCCTTTTTCTTTTCTTTCTTTCTTTTGACAGAGTCTCACTCTGTCACCCAGGCTGCAGTGCAGTGGCATGATCTCAGCTTACTGCAACCTCTGCCTCCTGGGTTCAAGTGATTCTCATGCCTCAATCTCCCTAGTAGCTGGGATTTCAGGCATGCACCTCCACACTCAGCTAATTTTTTTCTACTTTTAGTAGAGATGGGGTTTCACCATGTTGGCAAGGCTGGTCTTGAATTTCTGGCCTCAAGTGATCCACCTTCCTCAACCTCCCAAATGCTGGAATTACAGGCATGAGCTACCACACCCAGCCTCACTCTGCCTTTTAAGTGGAACATTTAGCCTGTTTACATTCAAGGTTAGTATTAATATGTGTGGATTTGATCCTGTCATTGTGCTGTTAGCTGATTATTATTTTGGCTTGTTTGTGTGGTTGCTTTATGTTAACACCAGACTGTGTGTTTAAGTGTATTTTGTATTAGCTGGTAGTGGTTTTTTCTTTCTATATTTTGTGCTCCTTTCAAGATCTCTTGTAAAGCAGATCTGGTGAGAATGAATTCCCTCAATTTTGCTTACCTGAAAAACATCTTATTTCTCCTTCACTTAGGAAGCTTAATATGAAATTCTTGGTTAAAGATATTTTTTTCTATAAGAATATTGAATATAAAGTTCCCAATCTCTTCTGGCTTGTTTCAGGTGAGAGGTCTGCTGTTAGCCTGATGGGGCTCCCTTTGTAGGTGACCTGCCCTTTCTCTCTAGCTGCCTTTAACATTCTTTTATTTCTGATCATTACGTGTCTTGGGGATGATCTTCTTGTGTAGAATCTTGGAGAAGTCCTCTGTATTTCCTGAATTTGACTGTTGGCCTCTCTAGCAAGGTTGGGGAAGTCTTCATGAATGATATCCTGAAATATGTTTTCCAAGTTGTTCGCTTTCTCCCCGTCCCTTTCAGGGATGCCAATGATTCATAGTATGGTCCTCTTTACATACTCCCATACTTCTCAGAGCTTTTGTTCATTATTTTTTATTCTTTTTTTTTTAACTTTTATTTTAAGTTCAGTGGTACATATGCAGGATGTGCAGGTTTGTTACACAGTTAAATGTATGTCATGGGGCTTTGTTGGACAGATTATTTCATCATCCAGGTATTAAGCCTAGTACCCATTATTTATTTTTCCTGATTTTCCTCATCCTTTCCCTTCTCCCACACTCTGCCTTCCAGTAGGCCCCAGTGTGCCTTGTTCCCCTCTATGTGTTCATGTGTCCTCATCATTTAGCTATCACTTATAAGTAAGAACATGCAGTATTTGATTCTTAACCAAATTTTGGTTTCTTAACAGAAAGCCAACTGCTACATGTTCTTACTTATAAGAACTGTACTTTTAAGAACTGTCTGTCTATTTCAGAGAACTAGTCTTCAAGTAGTGATGTTCTTTCCTCTACTTGGTTTATTCTGCTGTTAATACGTGTGTTTGCATTGTGAAATCATTGTATTGTGTTATGGAGCTCTGTCAGACCTGTTATGTTCTTTTTAACACCAGCTATTCATCCTTCAGCTCCTGTATTGCTTTATTGTGATTCTTATTTTCCTTAGACTGGGTTTTGCCATCTCCTGAATCTCAATGCTCTTCATTGCTATCTGTAAAGTGTCATTTGCTTGTCTCCTGGGGGCTCCACCCCAGAGAGATGCAGGTCAGCAACAGCTCAGTGCAATCAGCCCAAGGTGGAGGGTTATAGAGGGAAATGTGTGCCAGGGGTTCCCTGACTTACAACAACCAGTCAGGGGTGTGGGGAACCTATGGGAGATGGACTGGCCTTCTCTCCTTGGGTTGACCACAGCTTGTTGGAGATATGGATAAGGCACTTAGGGTCTTTGCTCCTTTGTCTAAGGATGGCAAGGGCAGTTCCATTGCAGACGTAGTAGCAGAGGCTTTCAGTTGCTCCTGGAGGTTCTGTCCAGAGCATTGCCAAGTTGTTATTGGCTCGATAGCTCTGGCGGGGGGTGGCTGGAGGCCTGGGCGTGGTGGACCTGCCTGGTGAGGACATATGGGAATGGGCATCCACATAACAGTCTGGCCACTTTTCTGCAGGGGTGCCATGGTATGCTTGGGGCCCATTCCAGTCCCTAGTCAACTTGGATTTTCCACTACCTGGAAGTATCACCAGTGAAGGCTACAAAACAGCAAAGATGGCAGCCTGTCCCTCCCTCTGGGAGCTTTGTCCCAGGGAGGTTGCAGGCCCAAAGGCACCTGTAGGAGGTGGCTGGAGACCCCAGTTGGGAGGTCCTGCCCACTGAGGAGGAACTGGATTGGGGGCCCACTTAAAAATACTGTCTGGCCATGTTTTGGTAGAGCAGCTGTGCAGTGCTGGGGATCTGCTTCAACCCCTGGTCACCTTAAAAACTCCAAAGTCTGAAGTCTGGAATGGCTAAGTTGTCCAAACAGCAAAGATGGTGGCCTACCCGTCCCTCTGGGAGCTCTGTCCCAGGGAGATTACAAATCTCTGTCTGCCAGACAACACCAGTGGGGGTGGCTGGAGGCCCTGGTTGGGAGGTCCTGCCCAGTGAGGAGGAATGGGATTAGGGACCCACTTAAAAAAGCAGTCTGGCCATGTTTCGGTAGAGCAGCTGCGCTATGCTGGAGGATCCCTTCTGCCCCGGTCAGCTCAGACCTCCAAAGCCTGAAGGCTGAATTGGCTAAGTTGCCCAAACAGCAAAGATGGCAGCCTGTCCCTCCCTCTGGGAGCGCCACCCCAGGGGGAATAAAATATCTGTTGAGGCAGAGTGCGGTGGCTCACGTCTGTAATCCCAGCACTGTGGGAGTCCGAGGCAGGCAGATCACTTGAAGTCGGGAGTTCGAGACCAGTCTGGCAAGCATGGTGAAACCCCATCTCCGCTAAAAATACAAAAAAAAATTGGCCAGGCATGGTGGTACATACCTGTAGTCCCAGCTACCTGGGAGGCTGAGGCAGGTAAATGGCTTGAACCCGGGAGGGGGAGGTTGCAGTGAGCCGAGATCACGCCATTGCTCTCCAGCCTGGGCGATAGAGCAAGACTCCGTCTCAAAAATAAATAAATTAATAAATTAAATAAAAAAATAAAATCTCTGTTGAGGGGCGAACATGAGTGGGAGTGGCTGGAGACCCCAGTTGGGAGATCCTGTCCAGTGAAGAGGCATGGGATTGGAGACGCACTTAAAGCAGCAGTCTGGCCACGTTTTGTTAGAGCAGCTGTGTTGTGCTGTGCTTGGGGATCCCTTCTGCCCCCAGTCGGCTTGGACTCTTCAAAGTCTGAAGGATAGAATGGCTAAGGCCCTGGAACAGCGAAGATGGCAGCCTCCCCTACAACTCAGCTCCTTCTTAGAGAGGTGCAATGCGGCTACCAGTGGCTGGCTGGAATTCCAAGCCAGTGGGTCTTATCTTGGGAGGTGCTGTGGAAGTGGGGCCTGCAGGCTGTCACTGCTCAGCCTCTGGATTCAGCCTCTTTCCTAGGGGTATGTATGGGGGTCTAATCTTTCACTTTGCTGGAGCTGCAGCTACTTTTGCCGGAAAGCCGGACTATTTAAGGCACCAGGGTCTCCACACATGCCTCAGCGGCTGCTCTGCCTAAACTCCATATAGCTCTGTCTGTCAGATTGAAGGCCCTGCTGGGATGGGCTCACAAGGAAGGTTGCAAAGATCCGTGAGAGAAGCATGGTTTCCTGGGGTCGCACATTCACCACTTCCCTGAGTGGGGAAGTTTCCCTGGCTCTGTGCTGCTCCCTGGTGGGTCGTTGTCCTGTCTTGCTTTTCTTCATTCTTCGTGGGTTAAGTTGTTTCCTTGATTACTCCCAGTGCAAGTACCTGTGTGTTTCAGTTGAAGGCGTTGTGTTTACTCTCCCCTTCTGTTCCTCTCTGGGCAAGCCGTGCACACTAACTGCTTCTAGTCAGCCATCTTGGCCACCCTCCTGTTCTTCCTCTTTTTAGGTAGATCCCGGTTCCTGAAACATAATTTGCCCTTATGCCTAGAGAACTGCTTTTAAAATTATTTTGGGGCCAATTTCTTGGCAATAAATTCTTTGTGATTTTGTTGAAAAAGATCTTTCATCTTTGAAGTGTATTTTTGATGAATGCATTATTCTAGTTGGGTGGCTTTTTTTCTTTCCAAGTTTTAAATATTTGTCTTCACTCTTTTCTTGCTTGCATGGTTTCTGACAAGAAGTCTGCTATAATTCTTATCATGTTCTTTTATAGGTCAGATGATACGATTTTTCCTCCTGGCTTTTTCTAAGATTTTTTTCTTTGTCTTTGGTTTTCTGCAATCTGAATGATATGCACACCTCTCGTATATTTTTTGGTATTTCTTCAGCTTGTAGTTATCTGAGCTTACTGAATCTGTAGTTTGAGGTTTGTCGTTAACTTTGAAAAATTCTCTCTATTATTACTTCAAATATTTCTGTCTCTTTCTTCTCCTTCAAATATCCCAATTACACATATGTTATACCTTTTGAAATCGTTCCACAGTTCTTGAATGTTCTGTTTTGTTTTTTGTTTTCTTCATTTTTTTTCTCTTTGTACTTCAGTATGAGAAGTTGGTCTATCTTTAGGTTCACTGATTCTTTTCTTACTCATGTCCAGTCTACTGATGAGACCATCAAAGACATTTTTTTAATCTCTGTTACAATGTTTTTGATTTCTAGGATCGCCTATTATTGTTCTTAGAGTTTTAATCTCTGCTTTTATATTACCCATCTGTTTGGCAAGTTGTCTACTTTTGTCATTATAACTCTTAACATATTAATTATGTTAGGTAATTATCAGATAATTATGTTATCTGATAATTCCAAAATCTATGTTATATCTGACTTTCTTTCTGATTCTTGCTTTGTCTCTTCAAACTGCATTTTTCCTTGTCTTCTGGCACATTTTGCAATATTTGTTGAAAGCTGCACATGATATATTGGGCAATAGAAACTGAAGTAAACATGAATTTAATGTGAAGTTTTATGTTAATCTGGCTAAGATTTGGGCTATATTTAATGTTTGCTATATCGATAGAGGCCAGAGACTAAATTCCTCTAGTATCCTTGTTTATTCTACTCTGTTAACTTTGAGATTCCCTAAGTACTCCTCTTCAGAGAGAGTTTAAATCTTGCAGCTCTTTTAACTGTGACCCACCCTTATACCAGAGTCCTTTTGATCTGACAGTAAGGTGTGGGAGTGAGGAGCATTCTGTAATCTTATTATTAAGTCTCACTCTTTTAGTGGGCCTGTGTTCCTGGAATGTGACCTTCACAAGGGTGTCTTGTCCTCTCTCCTCACTCAGGTGAAATAGGAATGCTAGAGAGGGCTAGAGTGAGAGAAATTATTTTCCCCTAGGTGGGATAAGGCTCTGATAAATCTTTACCCCTGGAGAGTAAGTCTTTGCTATGAAGAACAGTCAGGTTGTATTCTACAAGTTATTCTTTCCCTCCTTCTACCTGAGCCATGAATTTTTTCTGACCGCTCTTCACCATAAGAACACTGTGTGGTGTCTGGAGATAAAACTCACAAAAGTATGTGGGTGCCCCTAAGATTGCAGCACCTAGGAGTTTCTCATTCTCAGGATAATTCTCACATTAGCCTTCTGAAATTTGTCAAAATTGTTGTTTAAGTGTTCCAGTTTATGGCTCCAGGGCTTCCCCAGCAGTAAGCTGTCTTCATGTGGTTCTCTGGATTCACCTGTTTTTCCAGATTTAGGGGTGGCAATTTGCCCTGCAATCTCAGTTTTCTGAGGTATTCATGAAAAGCTGCTAATTTTGTTTATTTATCTTCTTTGTTGTTGCTGTTGTTGATAGAATGGAACTGATGACTTCTAAGCTTTTGCATGTTGGAACTGAAAGCCAGCTAATCTACTTTTGAAGACCAGATTTTTTACTACCTTTTTAAAGGGTGCTGTATTAGGCTTTTCTTGCATTGCTATAAAGAAATACCTGAGACTGGGTAATTTATAAAGAAAAGAGGTTTAATTGGTTCTATAGGCTTTACAGGAAGCATGGTGCTAGCATCTGCTCAGCTTCTGGGGAGGCCTCAGGAAGCACAATTATGGCAGAAGGTAAAGTGGGAACAGGCACTCCACATGGCACAAGCAGGAGGAAAAGAGAGAGAGTCAGCTGGGGGAGGAGATGTCACACACTTTTAAATGATCAGATCTCATGGGAACTCAGAGCAAGAGCTCGCTTATCACCAAGGGGATAGCCTAAGCCATTCATGAGGGATCCACCCCCACAATCCAAACACCTCCCTCCAGGCCCTACCTCCAACACTGGGGATCATGATTCAACATGAGATTTGGCAGGTACATACATTCAGACTTTGTGAGGCACTCTGCAATTTGGCACAGGCTAGCTTTTTCTTAGAATAAAATCCAAGGAAAAATATCAAATCAATACAAATAATACAATAATTTCAGAGTTTCTGTTAACATCACTTCTTCTTTGAAGCTTTATTTGAAGTCTTCAGCTCACACTGAGCTCACTTCAGTCTGGGTCTAAATTCTATTTTTTGTTGTTTTTTTTTTCACTCAACTTTCACTTAACCAAATACTATCTAGTAATAGTTGACTAATGTTTTTGGATAGATGGGCTGTCTCTTTAAATAT